>NC_000010.11:87415822-87567337 GCF_000001405.40 Homo sapiens | reverse complement strand
TTGAACACTTTGTGGATTGGAAATTTCTTCTGCCAGATCCTCTAGGTCATCACTTTCAAGATCAAACTTCCACAGATTTCTACGGCATAAACAGAATGCAGCCAAGCTCTTTTCCAAGACATAACACACATGATCTTTGCTCCAGTTCCCAATAAGTTCCTCATTTCCATCTGAGATCTCGTCAGCCTGGACTTCACTGTCCATATCACCATCAGCATTTTGGTCACAACTATTTAACCAGTCTCTAATAAGTTCCAAACCTTCCCTCATCATCCTATCTTCTTCTGAGCCCTCCAAACTCCCAACTTCTGCCTGTTACCCAGTTCCAAATCTGCTTCCCAATCTTCGGGTATCTTTATAGCAACATCCAACTCCTTGGTACCAATTTTCTGTGTTAGGCTATTCTTGTATTGCTATAAAGAAATACTTGAGACTGGAAAATTTATAAAGAAGATAGGTTTCATTGGCTTACAATTCTGCAGGCTGTATAGGAAACAGCACTGTCATCAGCTTCTGGGGAGGGTTCAGGAAACTTTTACTCATGGCAGAAGGTGAAGCAGGAGCAGGCACATCACATGATGAAAGCAGGAGCAAGAAAGAGATTGAGGGGATTGGTGCCACACATTTAAAATGACCAGATTTCATGAGAACTCATGATCATGAAGACAGCACCAAGCCATGAGGAATCTGCTCCCATGACCAAAACACCTTCCACCAGGCTCCACTTCCAGTATTGGGGATTACAATTCAACATGAGATTTGGTCAGAGAGAAACACCCAAACTATATCACCCAGGCTGGAGTGCAGAGACACAGTCACAGCTCATTGTAGTCTCTACCTCCTGGGCTCAAGCAATCCTCCCACCTTGGCCTCCCAAAGTGCTGGGATTAAAGATGTGAGCCACTGTGCCTGACCCCTATCTCTCCCTTTAAATCTAATAATATTTGCTTTATATATCTGGTTTCTGTGGTGTTGGGTGCATATATGTTTAGAATTATTATATCCTCTTACTGAATTTATCCCTTTATCATTATATAGTAACCTTGTCTCTTTTTACAGTTTTTGACTTAAAGTCTGCTTTATCCGATGTAAGCATAGCTACTTCTGCTTGCTTTTCATTTCAATTTGCATGGAATATCTTTTTTCATCCCTTTACTTTCTATGTCTCTTACAGGTAAGATGAGTTTCTTGTAGTCAGCATATAGTTGGCCTATGTGTTTTTAATCCATTCAGCTGGTCAGTATCTTTTAAGTGTAAAGTTTAATCTGTTTATATTCAAGGTTATTATTGATATGTAAAGGTTTATTCTTTTCATTTTATTAAATAATTTCTGGTTGTTTTGTATATCCTTTGTTCCTTTCATTCGCTTTGTCTATCGTTGTGGTTTGGTGATTTTCTTTAGTGGTAAGAGTTGAGTCTTATTTTCCTTTATTTGTGTCTTTGTTCTACCAGGAGTTGTTATATTTTCATGTGTTTTCATAATGGCAGCTAACATTCTTTCACTTCCAGGTGTAGACCTCTCTTAAGCATTTCTTGCAGGATCAGTCTAGTGGTGATGAATTCCCTTGGCTTTTGCTTATCTGGGAAATACTTTATTTGTTCTTCATTTATGAAGGATAATTTTGCTGGGTATGTCTTCTGCTGGCAGCTTTTCTTCCAGCATTTTGAATATATCATCCCATTCTCTCCTGGCCTATAAGGTTTCTGCTGAGAAGTCAGCTGTTAGTCTGATGAGGGTTCCTTTATAGGTGACAAGATGCTTTACTCTTGTGTTTAGAATTCTCTATGTCTTTGACTTTTGACAGTTTGACTATAATGTACCATGAAGACCTTTTTGCATTGTATTTGCTTGAGGTTCTCAAGAGCCTCAAGTATCTAGATGTCTACATTTCTTGCTAGTCTTGAGAAGTTTTTAGCTATTATTTTGTTAAATAGGTTTTCTAACATTTTTATTTTCTCTTTTCCTTC
Organism: Homo sapiens; assembly: GCF_000001405.40. NCBI lineage: Eukaryota > Metazoa > Chordata > Mammalia > Primates > Hominidae > Homo > Homo sapiens. The sequence continues at coordinate 87,565,369 of NC_000010.11, read as the reverse complement.
TGGGACTCCAAAAGTTTAAATATTTGGTTGCTTTCTAGTGTCCCATATGTCATACAGGCTTTTTTCTCTCTCTCTTATTTTTTGCTTTATTTTTGTCTGACTGGGTTATTTCAAGAGACTTATATCTTCAAATTCTGATGTTCTTTCTTCTGCTTAATCTAGGCTATTGTTGAAGCTTTTGAATGCATTTTGTATTTCATTCACTGAATTCCTCAGTTCCAGAATTTGTTTGGTTCCTTTTTATGATATCTGTCTCTTTATTTTGAATTCTTTTTCCAGGATTGTTTTTGATTGGGATCTGTTCCTGGAGAACTATTGTTTCTTTGAAGATGTCATATTTTCTTGCATTTTCAATGTTTCCTGTGTTCTTACATTGGTATCTGTACATGTTGTGTAACAGTCATTTCTTTCAACTTTATGAATTTGCTTTAGTATGGGAGGACTTTTTCCTGAAGATGTATCTATGGTTTTTGTTGGGGAGTGCACATTGACTTTAATTCTAGGTGCAAGCAGTAGGATAGTCTCTGTATGATTTCTTTGGCTGTAAGCAGCATCAGTAGTATCTATGATTTCCTTGATGGCTTAGGGTACAGTTATTAAGGGAGACTGTGGTGAAGTTTTGCTGGGGACTGAGATCCCTCATGGTCCAGTCTTCAGACCCCAGTGGGCTGAGCCTGCTTGTCCTTGGGTCCCAAGGTGGCATATGCTGGCACCAGTGTCAGCAAGTCCAGGCAGGCCAGTTCTTGAGCCTCCAGGCGGCTTGTCTGAATGCCAGTAGTGGCAGCAATGGTAGCTGTGGGGGTGAGCATGTTCTCAGGCCTCTGGGCAGTTGGCATGTTCTAGGCAATGGCAGTAGCAGTACTGGGATGACTCTCTGGGTCCCAAGTGGTATGTGCTGCTATTGGTGGTGGCTGTGATAGCCTGGGTAGGCTAGTTTCCAGGCCCCCAGGTAGCATGTGCAGGTTGGTGCCAGCTGTGGTGGTAGCAGCAGGTTGGGTAGGATCAATCTCAGGCCCCCTAGAGGAGTGCTTAGGTGCCAGTGGTGGTGGGCTGGGCTTGGCAATCCCTAAGCCCCTAGATTACATGCTCTGACATGGGATGGGGGCCAAGCCAGTCTGAGCAGACTTATCCTCAGGCCACCTGATGGTGTGTGCAGGTGCCTGCCATGGTAGGCAGTGGTGGGGCAATCTCAAGGCCCCTGGTGGAATGCTCGAGTGAGGTGGCAGCAGTCATGCTGTGGCCCTGCCACTGGGGAGGATAGGGCACAATCACCCTACTTGTGCTTCAGCCCTGATGGCAGCAGTCCATGCTTCACCTGTGCCTTAGCCCTGGAGCTGCTGAGCCCCAGGGCAATGTGTAGCCTGTTGGGGGCCAGGCTCTCAAAATGGTGCCTTGCTGTAGATGCTTATGGTTTGGTGGAGGGGGGGACATGGGACCCGATGCAAGCTCCATCCTCGAAGCTGTGCCATTGCATGGTCTCCAGGTAGCTCCCTCTGTTAGTTTCAGGGCCTGGGAGGGCTAAGATAGAAGAATATTGTGGTGGGAATGTGGTCTACTGGGGGTTTCTCACTTACCCTTTCACCACACTGGGGAGTCTCTCCTGGCTCCCAGCTGATCCCAGCCAAGCAGCCTACCTTACTTTCCTCTCCTTCCTTGCCTTAGGTGTTTCCTGTCACTTTTCTGTTGACTTCCAGTGTTCTCTCAGATGATCTATTTAAAATGTGATTTATTTACTCACTATTTTGGTTTCTCGTAGTGGAGAAGGCAAGTACAAAATGCATCTAGTCAGTCATCCTTCCTCATACAACACACTTTTAAAATGGGCAAAATATTTGAACAGACACTTTACCAAAGAAGATATATGAATGATGAATAAGTACATATAAGTACATTAAAATATATTCAACATGCAATCCTCTAAAAGACTTAAGAAAATTCTCATATGATGGTGATGACATGATTTTAAAAATCTTTCCAACCCATCACCCCCACCCTGCATAAAAACAGCAACTAAAGTGGCAAATGGGTACAGTGATATGTGCCTGTACTCACAGATACTGGGGAGGCTGAGGCGGGAAGATCACTTGAACCCAGGAGTTTGAGATGAGTTGGAGCAACACAGAGGGACTCCATCTCAAAAAAAAAAAAAAAAAAAAAAGGAAAGAGAGAAAATAGAAAAAAAAGGCTGGCGTGAAGGGAGCTGTTTTAATTGATCAGTCACAGATCAAACTCCTCGTTTCTATTTCTTCCCTCTTCTCACTACTACACTTGACTAGTCTTAAATAAAATGAAAAAACCCACAGACAACATCTACAACAAAACTATGTGACAAATTATCCCCAATGTTAGTAAAAAGTGCTTGGTGCCGCAACGAGAAACCAGCACTTAGACAGAAAATTTTTTAGCAAGGCAAACTTACTTTTGCAGAAGGGGTGCTGCCTGCATCTGTCTGATTGCAAGAGCACGTTGAACAAAGGAGAGAAGGGTTTTTATTCCTAATGCAGCTTGTCTCTACTACTGTGTCCTGTCTTCGTTGGCTGGAGTTGGACCGCACAATCTAAACTGAACCCGATTGGCTAACTTGAAAGACAGCTTTGGCAGGAAGAGTCGTCACAGCGGGAGGGGTAAATTACAGAGTGAGTAGTAGATCTGGGCTCTGTGGATAAGGACTGGCGGGAGAGTTGTTTACTGGAACTAGGAGCAGGGAGGCCCAAGGGTAAGGAAGTTGGACCTTGAAAGTAGAGAACAAATAAACTAAACAAACTAAACTTTTGAAGAGAAACTTCTCTTGGATCTGACACCCAAGAATTTCCAAATCTGAGAGTGTGTGATAAGCCACTGACGGCTATAAGACCCCCACTGCATAAACATCATCTTTGTAGAAAGCAGCAGAAGGCAGCTTTGGGTAGCTAATGGACCTAAGAACTGAGGAACTCCAAGTCACCCAAAGGTACTCATTGAAAATGCAGAGGACCAACAGACAACAGCTGTTGTACAATAGGTTTACCTTAAGTGATGAAAGGACTTGAGCTGGTGGGCCCTAGGAGTTCTCAAACTTCACCAGCTGAAGTCCCCTTCCAGGATACACCCCTGCTTTGAGGAGACTCCCCTGGGAATAAAAATCCCTATTAAATAGGACAGGGACAAAAAGGGTAAAGGAAAGGGAAGATCCAGCTACAAATGGGAGTGGGAACTGAATCAGATCTTAGAAAGGACAAGAAACAGCCCTCCTGACCAACTCCCTCCTGCCATACCCCCCAAACCGAGGTTCAGAAAAATGAATTAGAAGTAGATATATAAACAAAGCTCACATATCGGCTCCCAAGTCCCCAGGTGATGCCACATTTGGGCAAGGTCATCACTGGGAGATCAAATTTTATAGTCAGGTCCTCAGATTGGGAAATATTTTCTAGCAATGTCTGTATGTAATAATATTTTACTGATATAAAAACAACTGGTGGTCATGTGGTGTTTGCTGTCACACAAATTGTTGTGATGACAGTCAAAGTGGCATACTCAGTTTATAAGATGGAGTAGGACAGAGATCATTGTCATGGGCAACATATGCAACTTGCCTCTGACAAGTCTGCAGCAAATTTTTGCCTTCTTCATCCCCCATAAAATTCTGCATCATAGATATCTGATAAACATCTGCCAGCTGCCATTGCTGTGTGTGCAATGAGCCTGGCTTTATGGACTCTATAGTTGAGTTACAGGAGTGAGCCTATGAGGGCTGGCATATGCAGATTACAACTACTTCACTAAATAGAGATGGGGTGGAGGGTAGATTACAGACATAAAATTCTAATTCAAGAACAGAAACCATCCTTCTTTTGGGAATCCTCCTAAGACGGAAGACTTCCTAAGGGACATTGTTTCTAAAACAGGACTAACAATTAACACATACACTCTATGCATGTACATAAAATATTTGAGGGCAAAAAATATTTTATCTTCAGTCCCTAATCCCATGCCTGTTAGGTAGTTATTGCTCAAAAGGGTTATAAAAGCAATGGAAGGGAAAATAAATAAACAATATAACTATAGTTCCCATTATTCTGAAATCCAAACAACTTTGAATTTCCAACAAGGTCTGAGATGTGCTTTGCTTTAAAATTCTACAAATACATTTCTAAGGGACAGCAGAAGAATCAATTAACTTGTCCCACCCTCCTGGTTAACTAAGAAAGCCTTCTAGACCAGGTGCATAGTACAGTCAGCTGAGCCTGGAGAAACAGAATTGATTTGTCTTAGAAAAGGTCATAGAAGAGGCTGACACTTTCTTTTCCTTTCCATTTCCTGCTAAGCATGCAACTTCTCAGCCTCAGCAATTATGGAAGCCGAGAATTATAGAGGCCAATGGCTACAGAGAAGGCCAAAGGGTAGAAGCATATTCAAAACATTTTTTATTGCAGTAGTGTGCAGAATCAAGAGTTAGTTGCAATCTTTCTATGTTACTGGAACAATCTGCACATCAAAACACCCCAAATAAACTAGGTCCAAATTCCACTTCAACCACTGATATTGCTGTTAACAAATTTGAATAGTGCTTATTATGCGGAAAAAAAAAAAGGTACCTTCTTCTTTCATATACCCTATTCTCGTATAAACAGGTCAAAGAAGGAAGATTAGTCAAACTCAACATTGTCATAATATGTGACTGCTGACGCCAGTTCTCTGCACTTTGGGCTCTTCCCTTACGAGGTTTAAATATATGCCCAGGCTAGGTGTGGTGTCTCATGCCTGTAATACCACACTTTGGGAGACTGAGGCAGCAGGTGGATCACTGGAGGTCAGGAGTTCAAGACCAGCCTGGCCAACATGGTGAAATCCCATCTCTACTAAAAATGTAAAAATTAGCTGGATGTGGTGGCACATGCCTGTAATCACAGCTACTTGGGAGGTTGAGACAGGAGAATCGCTTGAACTCTGGAGGCGGAGGTTGCAGTGATCCAAGATTGCCCCACTGCACTCCAGCCTGGGTGATAGAGCTAGACTCCCTCTCAAAAAAAAAAAAAAAAAAAAAGGCCAGAGGCAGCAGTTACCAAGAGTCATCTGGCGTTTTCTAGTATTTCTTTGATTCATGATTCATCAATTATTCTGTCTACTACAGGATCTTCAATACAAAGTTGAAATGACCTCATTTCCTCATCTGCAAAATGGGTTTTATACTAGCAACTTCACAGTGCTGTAAAGAGGATTAAGTAGAAAAACAAAGTACAACCTATAGTGCTTGGCAAGTGTAGCTATTTCTCTTACCTAATGGCAACTATTAATACATGATTTATTTTACAGATTACTTAACATCAGGTACATTGCTGAGTATTGAGAATTACAAAGTACTTTGATGCATTATGCTCTGTAATATGAGATGATTTTAAGACTGGACTTTACTCACCTGTGTTTGCACAAATACCAACAAATACATGTACCCAGGTCTATAATAGTGCTTATAAAATACTTTGTAATTTAAACCAAAAAGTATCTGAGACAGATGTCAATCGATTTAGGCTTATTTTGCCAAGGTTAAGGACCCCGCCCATGACACAGCCTCAAGAGGTCTTGAGAACATGCGCCCAACGTGTTTGGGTTACAGTTCTTGGTTTTGTACATTTTAGGAAGGCAGAAGTTACAAGCAAAGACAGAAATTGATACATGGAAGGTATACATTGATTCAGCCCAGAAAGGCAGGACATCTTGATGTGGGAGGGCTTCCAGGTCATAGGTGGATTCCAAGATTTCCTACCTGGGCAATTGGTTGAAGGAGTTAAGCTTTGACTGAAGAGTTGAAGTCAGCATAAATAAATGTTAAAGTTGGGGGAGGCTGTGGAAGCCAAGATTCTTATGTAGATGAAGCCTCCATGTAGCAGGCTTCAGACAGAATAGATGGTAAATATCTCTTGTCGAAACTTAAAAGGTGTCAGACTCTGGAAAAGACCTAGCAAGGGAAGGAGATTCTCTACAGAATGCAGATTTCGTTCACAAGAGACAGCTTTGCAGGGCCATTTCAAAATATGTCAAAGAAATTTATTTTGGGGTAAAATGCTTTGATTTCCTTCAGGGCCTGCTGTTATGTGATCCTGTACCAGAGTCAGGTTGGAATTTGGTATCTTATTGCTAGAGTCTGTTTTGTCACTGTTACGATCTCTATTTTCACATTAATGCTGGTCAGTTGTTCCTGAACTTCAAAGGGAGGATGTAACAAGGTATGTCCAACCCCTTCGTCCTGTGATGGCTTGAACTAGTTGTTCAGGTTTCTTGGAATTCCTTAGCCAAGAAGGGGTCCATTCAGTCAGTTGGGGGGCTTAGAATTTTATTTTTCGTTCACATAATCAGTTTTTAGACCTGTTAAACAATCCTTTGAAACATCATGTAGGCCACAGGGCTGGAGGAAAGCCATGCTTCCATGCTTCCAGCTGTTTTTCAAGAGCTAGGCTGACAGCAACTAGACTTGAAAAGTGAGTATTACTGACTTTCCTATCTCCAGCAGGTGACTGAGGCAAAAATTGGCAGTCTATTTGAAAAGTTCCACAGTGTTGGCTGGTCTACCCTCATTTTCCTAACTAGAAAAACCTGAAGTCTTGCAACCAGAGTAATAGGGATGTATTAATAGAATCCTAGCTGCTTCTGGAACCTATACCTAAATCTGGGAGTTTTGTGTATTATCTCTTAGCAAGGAAAAGGCAGAGAAGGCTGTTGTTTCTATCTTACTTTTTTATGTCCTGCCCCAAGGATCTCAATTTCTCTTCTCAGAGTCTTTTCAGTCTCATAGCACTGAAGTAGGAAGAAAAGTTGAGACAGTTGTTTCTTCCCACTATAAATGGCACTGGGTGGTGTGACTATCTAAAATAGACTCATTAGAAAACCAGGCCCTTAACCTAATTTTCATAATGCAAATACTGACAGAAAGCTTCAGGGAGCAAAGTCGCACAGACAGAAGAGAAAAAAACACTATCCTGTCTCACCAAAACTAGGCTTCTCATCTCAGGAAGGCAAAAGACAGAAAAATACCTAAGAGAAAGAATCCAACAGGTGTGGTGGCTCACACTTGCAATCCCAGCACTTTGGGAGGTTGCGGTGAGAGGATTGCTTGAGCCTAGGAGTTCAAGACCAGCCTGGGCAACATATTGAGACCCTGTCTCTACAAAAGATAAAAAAAAAAATTATCAGGGCATGGTGTCAAACATCCGTAGTCCCAGCTACTTGGGAGGCTGATGTGGGAGGATCACTTGAGGCCAGGAGGTCAAGGCTGCAGTGAGCCATGATTGTGCCATTGCACTCCAGCCTGGGTGACAGAGACTGTATCTCAAAAGATAATAATTTAAAAAAAACACAAAAAAATAGGAAAAAGAAAAAGAAACTAACGGTTTCTCAAAGGAAGAGCAACTATGGCTGGAGCAAAATTAGCTGTTTCCAATTAACAACCTTTTTATCAATTAAATAATTTTCTTATCTGTATGTATCCAAGGATATATTTCACCAGTATATACTTCTCTAATTTACATCAAAACTGTATTTTTTCCAGAATATTTGTTGAAAAAGTTTCCCAAAGCACCCAAATTGTTAATGCAGAGAAAAATCTATACTTTCATTCCAACTTAATTTTCCACATTGGCCATCTTAGAAATAATGTAAAATAAATATCCGAATTCAACTTTACCAGTAGTATTACCCAATTCAGAAGGATGTCATTTTAACGAACAAATATTTATTCTCCCAGTACAACAAACAAAAGTGTGAACATGGATTGCTTGGGTCTAAATGGTTTAAAATCTGGGAAAGGGCCGGGTGCAGTGGCTCATGCTTGTAATCCCAGCACTTTGGGAGACTGATGTAGGAGGACCACTTGAGCCCATCTCTACAATAGAGATGTAGAGACCCCATCTCTACAATAAACTTAAAAATTAGCCAGGCATGGTGGAGTGTGCCTGTAGTCCCAGATACTTGGGAGGCTGAGGTGGGAGGAACACTTGAGCTGAGTTCGAGGCTGCAGTGAGCTATGATGGAACTACTGCACTCCAAGCTGGGCCACAGAGTGAAGACTCTGTCTCTAAAAATAAAAATAAAATAAAATCTGAGAATGTAGTACATGGAAGATGTTGAATTGAGGCTAGTTTAAAGAATAAAATTAAGAATCCTTCTATCTTAAAATAATTTCAGTAATGACAAAAAAGTTATAGTTTTTAAAATTAACCTCTTCCCAAGTTGTCCAGTATGGAACTCAAACTATATCTTTAACTGGAAGAATATGACATCTCTTTTCCTGATGTGGAGTTCTGTCAAAAATACTACTATTCTCACACATACACAGAACAAAGCATAGCTAAATAGACTGAAGAGTGAAAGAGGCTGCCACATGAATGGAAGGAAACAAATGAATATGAGAAAAAGAACAGTTAACAGAGAGTTGGGTGATCTGTGATCTAAGTTCAGGGTAATAGTTAGATATAAGCAAATTGTATATGCAAGTAATGCAAATATTTTCAGCTTACATTTGGCAAAAGACAGTCCAAATTCCCACTATCATTAATGAACCACATGAAATACCATCTGACAAAAACGTGTTCTAAAACTGTACAGTTTATATTCTGGTTAGGTTATATGTAACTCTCACATCTCTAAGGGCTTGCATTAGCAGTTCTGCAGTTTACAAAAGGAAAGCATTCAAATAAAGATATAACAGTGGAATATGCCTGGAAAAAATGAACTACTTTTTCCCTTACACATTGAGTTTTGATTTCAGTGTTAAAATTAAGATCAAGATCATTGACAAAAGCAGTATCAAGTAAGTGTGTGTTGGAGAGCAGGAACTTCAAAATGATGACATGACCATAGAAAACAGTAAATACAGTACAATGCACACGTAGCTATAGATGAGACAGAAAAAATGGCTAATGTCCATAGAAATTAATCCATCAAAATGTCAAATCATTAAAAGTTAAATTTTGGCAAAACTGAGTAATTTGATCACCTATTACGAATGAATTCTTGTTAGCCAAAGATTTTTTTCAATGTTCAACTCTTCACATATCCTATCCTAGATAGTACCTTTAGTTTTTATCTTGAGATTCTCATTTTAGACATTTCCTAAATAACACCACAATAATATCACAACTTCTGTAACACTAGCAAAAATGGACCACGCTTAACCTCCACCCAGTATTTTCCTATGAAATATTTAAAATACATCTTTATAGGGTCAAAGATGACTATATAGTCCTATTGAACAATGAAATTTAATTCCTATGAAACTTTCATAGTCTTTGATATTTTGAAAAGTATTCAAAGGATACAAAATATTAAGTGTTAGACAATAAATGTTTTCAGATCTTTTAAGATAAACTCCTTGAATAAAAAAAAAACAAAACCCTAAGTTCATTCATCTTTATATGCCCATAGACTAAATGTATAGTGTTTTTATATAAAAGTACTCAACAGGCATTGATAAATTGAAGGTATTAATTTGCAACAAATGGTCAGGATTTTTAAAAGTTTTGAAAAACAAACAGAGCAGTTAAAATAAATTACTAATGCAAGAATGATACAGAGAATGTAAGTCTTTGTATAGAAAAATTTAAAACTCCCACAATACTGCAAGTTTCCAGAATCAAGTATGCAGTGCAATGATGAATACTGAATTTTATGTTGATGGTTACCTCTAGGCAGGGTATAGGGGTAATAGAATCATGGAGGTATATAAACGTCCTCAAAACAGCTTATTGAAATCTAAAGCAAATGTTATAATGTTAATTTTGATAAAACAGGATGTATATGGGTGCTCATCATTTTGTTTTCTTGTCTGCATATTTACATTTTTTTAAAGAAATGAGAACACCAGAACTTTGCAGAATCAGCAGTGTGTATAAATGCACCAGCAGCATTTACCAGCTAATCATCTATTTTATAAAACATCATTCATTTGAAGATCTCTGATCTAAAGATCAGGGATCTCTGCATCTCATAATTTCAATATACAATTGAGTACAATTTTTCCTCCACTGGTATTTAATTCCATGACTCACCACCCTATAGCCTGAAAGGAACCCAAATGGCAGTGTTAGTTTAATCCAAAATTTTTCAAAGTATATTCTCATTTACAATTGTCATAGATTGTAAATTGTCATAGATTATAAATGAGAAACTTTGAAAAATTTTGGATTAAACTAACACATGCCATTGGGTTCCTTTCAGGCTAGAGGGTGGTGAGTCACAGAATGTAGTACATGGAAGATGTTGAATTGAGGCTAGTTTAAAGAATAAAATTAAGAATCCTTTCATCTTAAAATACATTATTTCAGTAATGACAAAATAGTTAAAGTTTTTAAAGTTAACCTCCTCTCAAGTTTTCCAGTATGGAACTCAAACTATAAATCTAAATTTCATTGGAAGAATACGACATCTCTTTTCCTGCTGTGGAGTTACAATGTATGATGACTATAAATGAGAATGTACTCAGGTCAAGCAAGATAGAAAAAAATGTAATCTACTATAATGCCTCCTTTATTCATAACGCACAATAGAACATTAAAAGCCAGAGACATTCCATAGGATAACCCCATGTTTCCCAAGGTCACTTCAACCCAGGATCCTTTCTTTCTAACATTTATATCTTCTTTCTAGAATTTGTGTTCTGAGGAGAATATTTTATGTATCATATCCATTCGGGAATAATTCAGTTTCTGAAAATCCCATGTTGAAATGGTCCTTTTTCATTTTTTCAGAGCACACATACTATATTTACAGCTCCCAATGTTTGTCAGCTTGTTTCTTTTACTTACTCATTAGTGCTACTTTTTTTTAACCTTAGAAGATCTATTCAAAAAGGTATTGGCAAGGTCACATAACCCAACAGTTAATATGATATCATTTTAAAGGTGTCCCTGGGTCATATTTTGCAAACCAAAAGCAACATGAGGTTTTCTTACTAATAGAGAAAGCATTAAAAATCTTTTTATCTTTTCTCTAAATTAGCATATGATAACTTCATTGGCTAAAAAACAAATGACTAAGCATTAACTAGAAAATATTTCGACTATGGGTGATAAAAAAAGATCTTATTGCCTTTTTTTTTAAGTCTCAAACTGATTTTTCCAATTTTATCAACTGAAGTTTGGCTTGAAAATATCCTAATCCAAGTCACATATGACAATCTGTACATAATCTGTACGTAGGCACATGGATACCCTTAACATGTATTGGTTTTCCTATGGTCTGTCTCCTCGAAAGCAAAGTACCGTAAAACTAGTAAGAGGAGACTCCAGTAGGGGATTTTGCTGCATGTCGTTTAATAAGAGTAACCACATATTTTTAAGAAAAATCTAAGATTTTCCTTTGAAACATATTACCTTTAAGGTGTATATGAATTAAAATAAAATGCATTAACAAATCCATTATTTGAGGAAATTTCTATTCAAAGAAAATTGCTTTAAATTGCCAGGTGACAATAGCAAAGACTTGGAACCAACCCAAATGTCCATCAATGATAGACTGGATTAAGAAAATGTGGCACATATACACCATGGAATACTATGCAGCCATAAAAAACGATGAGTTCATGTCCTTTGTAGGGACATGGATGAAGCTGGAAACCATCATTCTCAGCAAACTATCGCAAGAACAAAAAACCAAACACCGCATGTTTTCACTCATAGGTGGGAACTGAACAATGAGAACACTTGGACACAGGAAGGGGAACATCACACATTGGGGCCTGTCGTGGGGTAGGGGGAGGGAGGAGGAATAGCATTAGGAGATATACCTAATGTAAATGACAAGTTAATGGGTGCAACATACCAACATGGTGCATGTATACATATGTAACAAAACTGCATGTTGTGCACATGTACCCTAGAACTTAAAAGTATAACAAAAATAAAAAATAAAAAAAAATTGCCAGGTGAGTCAAATCTGCTTGAATTTCCAAACTTTTACCATCAATTATTGATTGTATTTTGACATGGGGAAGAGAAAAGTCCTGGTAGTAAAGTCACAAGAATTTTCTTTATTATAGCAAATACTTTCACGGCATTTGACAGAACTCAGAACTATTTACAAAGAAAGAAAGAAAAATCAAACAACCAAAAGATACATTTCATATAATAGGAAAATATAAAAATCGAAGCCAAGTGACAGAATGAAAAAGTTAGCTAAGCAATGGATTTGAAAAACTTCGATTCTAACTATCTGACTTGTTGCTAATTGTCCAAACATATAATAATTTAAGATGGTCTTTTGAGACTTCCTAGAAGTAAAAAGGAATTATTGAAAAAATGTTCAAATATTTCATAAATAAATACCAAAAATATTTATTTTCATTGTACTTTCCGACTTGCTTCAGTGAAGGTGTCCTTTTACAACACTCTGTTTCTTGTTTCAAATTCTCATCTGGAGATGTTACTTTCTTCCAGAGTGATACTCCCAGCTTACCACAATATTCCTGATTAAGAAAATGCTAGAGCTGTCCTACCTGAGGAAAAGAAGAGAGAACTGCAGAACAATCTGTAAAGTTCCTAGACAGTTCAATCAAGTTAAGGATGGTCCAACTGAGATATTTTGTTACTCCAGCACTTTTCAAGTGTTATTATGAAATCACAATTCTATCTCAGTGTGAGATTTCTTATATAAGTAGGAAGAATTTCATTTCTGTAAACATTTGCAGGGCCAGCTGTTTCTCTAAATAGATTTGTTTCTCCTTAAGAGAGCTGCTCCAGTGAAAAATCTTTTCTTACATTTCATGTCCAAACCCAGAGAGAAACCCAATGTTTTTCTGTGAAAAGACAGAAATACTCAAGTAATATAAAAGCTTCCTGTAATCAAGGAATTGCCTACCTATTACAAGCATGTAATCACTCATTGCAGATTCCTAAAGAATTAAAAATGTTCTTCAGTTACTCATAGTTCATCAGATGTACTGTTAGCCCTTGCTAATTCACATTCTTCACTGGTTTGACAACTCTGAAGGATGTCCTTGTAGTGGTTCTTCAGATCTTCATAAAATGAAACAGTTTCTTGTGAGTAAGCCAAAGGTAACACCTTTTCATTTAATAACATCTGCACTCGGAATTGTTCTTTAGGAGTCTTAGCATTTTCACAGTGGTAAAGCACAAATATCAGGTTCGAGGCATAAGGTACAATGAGACCACTTCGGAACTTCCGATGCATTTGTTTTTTGTAATTGTACGCTGTTAGGGGTTCCTTGTCTTTGAAGTAGCCCATGAGAGAAAGCAGTGGAAGAAGAGTCTCTGCATGACCAAACTGGAGGATGACTGGAGAAGAAATTGGCTGAGACCTTCAAATAGAAATTAAGAGAAAATAAGGTATATATATTAATGTCATAGAACATAGTATTTACACTTAGGAGTAACTTCCACATCTTTTTTTAGTTTAAATAATCCCATCTATTTTTTTAAATCTTTATATACATTACACAAGCATACGGCTGAAATTCCGTGTGGCAGAGAACTAAACTTTTTATACTGAAAGTTAAGTTCCGAAATTCAGATCACTGTACTGTTGTAAATCCATATAAGTGTGCATACATATTTTCCTTTAAGTTTAAAGAGAGAGAAGTGTCTTATAGATATGGGAACTTGAAACAGATGTGTATTTCAACACTGTATTGCCTTTCTGTGCATAAAACTGAGCAACCTGGCCCTTAGTAAATATTACTCCATGGAGCTCTTTTGAATAAAGTGTTATTATTTTATTTATATCTAGGGAATAAGAACAAGCAATATTCAGTAAATGTCTTACCAAGTCTGAACAGGATTACATGGTAATTCATGTAATCCTTAATGGTTTACAAAACCCAAAAAAGGTTAGTGATGTAACCTATTGTGGCTGAAACAATGTGTCTCTGGTTGGGAGTGGGAGTATAAAGTGCCAGGAATACAAACCACTTTCAACACTGAGCTGAATCAATTCTTTTTCTTGAAGTTTTCTATGATTTTTTTTTTCTGGTAAAGAATTTTTATTAAGAAGCAGTGAATGACTGCTTAGCCTTTTCCCTACCTTTATAGAAAAAATAATATTTTTCTTAAATATAATTTGTAAACCTATTCAAACATGACTGTCTGACTTTTTGCCACCACTCATCAGGTTATCAATTTAGTGCATCTGGATTTTCTGGGAGGATAGAAGCAGCAGTTCTAGACCTTCCTGATTCCCTCTGCCCCCAACACACACAAACACAGCAAGCAGATAGCAAATCCAAAAACCCATGGGAAACATTTACAACATAACTAGGTGGAAAAGTATTCTCTATGAACCACTCCAAGTAGCATCCAACCTCAAGCACTAGATATTATCAGTATCTGTTGAAGAAAGCAGAGAGAAGCCACAGAGCATCTGAGCAATCTGAGAACAAGAGAATCCCAAACAGCCCACAGGTATTCACTGGAAGCGCTGTGTGTGAACTGGATATAGCAGCTGAAATTGGGAAGTATTTAGTCCTCTCCAGGACTTGGTGAGTGCAAGGCAGGCCTACAGTGAGGCCCGGGGCTAGAGAATCCTGGAGCTCCTGTGAACTCTCCAAACACAGGGCTCACACTAGAGAAACTGCTGGGAGTGGAATTTCAGCCAAGCAGGAGAGGGACAGAAGAGATAAAGGAAAAAGTAAGTCTAGATGAAAGTGGGGGGAGGGGAACAGAGCCAGGAAATCTCAGAAAACAACCCATCATACTTCTGAACAGTACACACACCAGAACGGGGGGGCTCTGTGAGATGAGACAAGCAATCTGACACAAACCTTTTTCTAAATGTTCAGGAAAACAATTCATATCAAAATAACTACAGAAAAGCATGTAAGAAAAAATAAGGAGCAGAATAACTTCCATATATAAGAGTACGCTAGAAATATATACTCAAAAAGTACACTGAAACTGTTAACAGTATTTCAAAACAAACTAAAAGACAATTATTCACTACTTTCAGATTAATATTCTCTAAAAGGTGTAAAACTTAAAAGCCATTCATCAACAGGCGCTTACCAAGCCTCTCTTCATAACTGGTATACTTTAATTAGGTCATCTAAAATACCTAAAACCTGTATTTATTTCCAAGAAGCAATCTCTTAGGTCTGAAGTTACCAAGCGGTAGCATTCAGAACACAGCCATATTTAGTTTGACCAGCATAAGTATTTTTAAATTTTACATTACTTATCAGTATTTAAAAATTGAGAGGTTTAAGATTCTTAAAAATCCAGATTTTTGCTCTTCTTAGAAATCTGAAAGATCTGGCAACACAAGTCCATATATACCCGTAAGACCATAATCAGCTAAACAGGAATAAGGTTACCCACCCTGTAGAGAGGGCATATACTTGTTACACAGCACATGTATCATTCCACATTGTCTAACATAGGATGAATTCATTCCTTTGTTACTTGCCTGGCCCCTTTATACATCTGAGTATATTCAAGTCTAAACTAACACTACTGTCACCATCTAAATAATGAAATTTAATAAGGATACAAGTTAAAAGAAAAACAAGTAATATAAATATACTGGTTTACATTTTAAATCCTTTAGCCATTAGGCAGAAACCTCAAAGCCAGAAGCAATCCTAAATTCAACTTTCAGTTATTGCTCTCCATGGAATCTATTAGCACACAAAACAGGTCAGGGAGGATAGCAGCAACAGCAGCAACACCTCCACTGTCTAACCAGAAGAATTTACTGTCAGTAACTCTCTCCTCTTTCCCCCACAGAAGAACTCTAATAAACTGGGGACAAGATATGACGATATATCCAAACTATTGTCATTTCAGCAAGTAATTTATACGCCATTAGTAAACTTTACATTCTTTTTTCTACCAAGTGTCTGAGATCCAGTGCATAATTTACAGTATGGACAGCTTCGCTCAGACCAGCTGCTTTTTAAGCACCAAACAATCACATGTTGCTGGTGGCTACTGTGTTGGAGAGCACAGGACAGACAGTGGTATGGACAGTCTTACATACTTAGATTCAAAAGTTAATCAAATAAATAGCAAATAGGAGAAAAGATACAAGACAAATAAAAACACACACATGAAAACTATAAATTGGGGGAAGGAAAGAGACCAAAAGAGCTATGCACAAATTATGAGTTCAAAGTTCTATTAATTGCATTCAAGCTACAGAAGAAATGAAATCTAGACTGTGACTCAAATTTAAGTTGTAAATTTCAAGGTTCCTTGGGTTTATACAAAAGGCAGTAAACACCTTCCCCCCTTTTTTTACTGCCTTACTGTCAGTGATATGTTAAAATCAGTGAATTCTTCAGAAGAAATTTGAGGAAAATTATACTTAAAAATGCTTACTGGAAGTTTTATGGGAAATCAAGGAAGTTTATATATTAGATTCTCACAGTAAACCATCCCATCAAAAATAAATTACTGTCTTCTACCATTTGATGAATCCAATTTGTTTTAAAATTGTATTTTAGAATTCCAGACAATTTTCAATAGGAAGGAAAAGTGCTAACTTTTTATAAAGTCCGTAAGTATTGATTATCTTCTTACATAGAGCAATGTCTATTATACAAATTTGAAACACACCAAAAACCCCCAATATCTTAAAGGTCTAGTTAAATGCACTAGTAAAACAATAATAAGACAAGGGTAATAGTTTAAAAAAAGTAGAGCCATTAAAAGCAAAAACAAGATTTTGCTTAGAAATTGAAATGTGCCTATAGGGAATAATACACTTATAATTTTATTTTTATAATTTATATATTTTTACAATAACCAAGTATAAATATTTTAAGTTTGTGATAATGGAAAGTATTAAAAAAGAGCACAATTTCATTCATAATAATTATTTTTTTACTTTTACCCTTTGTGACTTAACATAGCTTGCTACTCAAGAAAAAGCCGCTAGCTGATGATGCTCATATTCATACAAAAGCCCCTGGGCAAATAAGCTGCACTCAGTTTTCCAAAACGTAATAAAGAAGAGACTTTTCAAAAGACCCATTTGGTTAATTTGTTAGATGTGACAGGCTCTGTCATTTCATGCCAAGTGCCAGGCACCATGCTAGTTTCTTCTTGGAGGGGGAGGGGAGGGGAGAAGAATAGTGGGATAAAAGAACAAAAACACAAATGAAACATTTCTGGCTCTTTCAGATTCGCATGTGTCTGTTAGAGAAACCCAGAGAACAAATCCTTGTGACTAAGGAAGAATTGAATGCGCTTTGCTGAGGAGGTGGTGTTTGAGCTGGGTCATGAATACACTCCTACTAAGTCTTAAAACAGAAATGCTGCTCTGTGTAGCCTTAGCAAAGTAATTGCTTACTCTATGATACAGGTTCTGTCATACCCTTTTAGAGAGGGAAAAACTAAGAAGCTTGAAAACTACAGGGCATAACTTGGTTATGAGCAAATTTTAGGGCAAATGACTCAATCTCTCTCAGGCTTCATTCCTGCCAAATGAAGATAAGCTACTTCCCTTGCAAAGCTGTTGGATTTGAGCTACAGAAAAATACTCACATATTTGCTATCACATATTGATCGATGGCTCTATGGTAGTGTTTGCCACAGAGCCATCAATCAATCTGTGATAGCAAACAGCCACAGTGGCAGCAAAAGCCACAGCAGTTCTAGCAGTGAAGTGACCCAGCACACAAATTAGTGGTGTGCTGAGTTTAGAATCCAGGAGATGAGTTCAAGTCAGTTCTCCTAAAATATTAGTACCTAACACTTTATTCTAAAGGTAAACACGGTATCAAGTAACAAACTCATTTCATTGAATAGCATATGTTAAAATTCATCAGATATCCAAAAGTGCTAAAGATCCAAATGCAAAAGCAAAACCACAGGTATACCATAAATTAAATTGTATGGAAACAATTTATACCAAAAAATTTTACTTGGAAAAACCTTAATGCCTTTTATAAGAAAATACTTGTTTATGAGGAGTAGAGTAAATAATTTAGGAACTTAGTCACTTCTTAGTCACTTAAATTTACTTTCAAACCATTGCTGATTAAAATCATTTAAAATCAAGTAATCCCAGCACTTAGGGAGGCCATGGGCAGATCTCTTGAGGCCAAGAGTTTGAGAACAGGTGGGCCAACCTAGTAAAATCCCATCTCTATCAAATATACAAAAAAACTAGCTGGGTGTGGTGGCACATGACTGTAGTCCAAGCTACTCAGAAGCCCAAGGCAGAAGAATCACTTGACCCAGGGGGCAGTGGTCACAGTGAGCCAAGATCACGTCACTGCACTCTAGCCCGGGTGACAGAGCAAGAATCTGTCTTGGAAAAAAAATAATAATAATTTAAAATCAAATCAGTTCTTATTTGTGGGAAGAAACATAGTATTTCAACATAATGACTGAGGAAGACTCTGTTGTCAGTGCTTAGTAACACTCTTCAGCAACATGCAATTTGGCAAAAGCACATGTAAAATCCCACAAAATTTTTTTTAAATGATATTTTTTTCCTTGTTTTTGTTTAAAGATACAGGAGCTCGCTCTGTCACCCAGGCTGGAATACAGTGGTGTGATCATGGCTCACTGCAGCCTCGACCTCCTGGGCTCAAGCACTCTTCCCACGTAGGCCTCCCAAGTAACTAGGACCACAGGAGTGCACCACCATGCCCAACTCATTTTAAAGTTTTTTTTTGTAGAAACGGGGTCTTAGCTTGTTGCCCAAGCTGGTCTTGAACTCCTGGCCCCAAGTGATGCTCTCACCTCGGCCTCCCAAAGTGCTGGGATCATAGGTGTGAACCACCACACCTAGCTGATTGTTTCTTAAATAAGGCATCAATTCTTTTCCAACGCAAAGGCGAAGACCACATTTCTCAGGTTTTTCATCTGAAATGAACGTGCAATAAGAAAAAAATATTCAGTGAAAAGCACAGTTCTATAAAAAGCTGATTGAGATAATTCGGCAGAACGTGTTTCTCAAGACACAGGTCACAAGGACCCTGCTGATAAAACAGGATGTGGTAAAGAAGCCAGCCACAACCAGCCAGAATCAAGAGGGCAAAGACAGTGACCTCTGCTCATCCTCAATGATCCTCACTGCTCATTATGTGCTAACTAGAATACACTAGCATGCTAAAAGACACTCCCATCTGTGCCGTGACAGTTTACAGATGCCACGGCAACTCCTGGAAGTTACCCTATAAGGTCTAAAAAGGGAAGGAACTCTTGGTCCTGACAATTCCCTACCCTTTCCCAGAAAACTCATGAATAATCCACTCCTTGTTTAGCATACGATTAATTTATGCTATTATTTATTAATAACCATAAAAAATAGCCAACCAGCAGCCCTCAAGGCTACTCTGCCTATGTGGCAGCCTCCCTTTTATTCCTTTACTTTTTAATAAACTTGCTTTCGCTCTAGTCTTTTGGCTCACTCTTGAATTCTTGCCTCCGTGAAGCCAAGAACCATGTGGCCTCCGGGGCTGAATCCCAATTTTGCCCCACGACATGATCACTAATGATGTAAGCCTCTAAGCAGATGAACAAAGACAAGGGTGTATGCATCTAAATTTTTACTCTTGCTTAGAAGAAAGAGAATATGTCAATAAATGACAACTTTTAGTCATAAAACCAGTATCTGGGCCAAATCTCCAATCAGTAATTAATAGCTATTTGGAACACTGCATTGAGAAGGATTCTGAGGTTGTATCCAGACTCGATGTGATCTATTTCATGCTTCTTACACATTCTACTCTCAATTCATGAACCTCCTCTCCTTGCCAATCTCTCCATCTTTACCTTTGATTTCCTAGATATAACTAAAATGAGTTTGGTCATTTCTAAGACACTGGATTATAAGACATATTAAAAGAAGATATTTTAAGTTAGTATTATGTCCAGGTAAGGTTTCTTAAGAATAAATTTTTTAAAAAGAAAACAAAGTTAATTTTATGATGCTGCATATTTTTTTTTGCTTGACAATATCACTACTGGTGAAGTATAACACAAACATGTATAAAACATATAATCACCTAAAACAAATTATCACTTCAAGACATATGTATAAATCACTCCTAAATGTATGTACACAAATCTTTACTAGATACAGGTAAGAATATACTTGGTTTGGTTTATGTCTTTTTTAAAAAAAAAGTCAAGAAAGCTTGAATATTAAAAATCCCACTTAGAGAAATTTTATCTCAGAGAAAAACAACTTATAAAATAGAAAAAACTGCCATAATAATTCATATAATATGCTATCAACATGAAACCCTAAGGAGGTTTCCTGAAACCTTAAGGAGGACATAGGGTTCATAAAACTGAAACCCTAAGGAGGACTTAAAATTACATTTTAGCAACTACATGTTTTATACAATTTTTAAAATCTGACTTTATTCTTGATTTTCCCATTTCAAAAACAGAATTCACTAAATGTCTAGGTTGAGGTTTCAAGGGTAAGAATTACACACACTCTTAAATAAGTTGCAACAACTAAAAGAATGTTAAGTATTTTTTGCTTTATCTCAAAAGTATTTCCATTACATAACATCTCAGAATATAAATCACTAAAATCTCAAACATAAATGTTTTTCTTTGCTATTTTGTTTTTCTCAGCCTGAATTCAACTTAGTAACCTTTAATGGTTCAAGGGCAAACTAGAATAAAGATAATAAAGATTACTTTGTAAAGTATTACTATTCATAAATAAAGTAATCTTTATTATTATCTTTATTCCTCTAGGCTCCGTAAGAAAGGAGAGAGGCTTCTTTCTTAAGGTTCCAATGATATTGTGAAATATAATATATATTTGGTCTTTGTTCCTGTTTCCTGGTACAAAACTCCTAAAATCCTTGAAATCTCCAAAGTGCTGTCTTTTTGCATGCTCATGTTGATTGATAGCTTCAGGATGGAGCTGGTCAGCAAAAAGGCAAAGGCATGATTACAGGGTTAGCATTTTCAAGCCCATCCCTCAACCTCAGGGAAGAGCAAGAGGGGCTGAAGGTCAAGTTGATCACCAATGGCCAATAGTTTAATTAATCATGTCTAAGTAATGAGGCCTCCATAAGAACCCAAGAGGACAGGGTTTGGAGAGCTTATGGACAGCTGAAAATGTGGAGGTTCCTGGAGGGCGGTGTGGCCCTGGGAGGGCATGGAAGCTCCACATCCTTTCCCCCATACCTCATTTTATGTGTCATTTGTATCCTCTGTAATATTTTATACTAAACTGGTAAACATGTTTTCCTGAGCTCTGTGAGCCACTCCTGGAAATTAAGTGAACCCAAAGAGGGGGCTGTGAAAACCCCAACTTGAAGCCAGTCAGTCAGGTGTTCCAGAGGCCCAGACTTATGACTGGTGTCTGAAAAGGGCAGGGGGCAATCTTGGGGATTGAGTCCTCAACTTGTAAGATCTGATGCTACATCCAGGCAGATAGTGTCAAAATTAGAGGATACCTAGCTGGTGTCTGCTGCTTATTGGTGGGGAACCCCCATCCCCCAACACTGGGTCACAGAAGTTGATATAGTTTGGATGTTTGTCTCCTCCAAATCTCATGCTGAAAAGTGATCCCCAATGTTGAAGGCGGGACCTAGTGGGAGGTACTGAATCATGGGGATGGATCCCTCTTGAATGGCTTAGTGCCATCCCCTTGGTGATGAGTGACTTCTCAGTTCACATGAAATCTGGTTGTTTAAGAGTCTGGGGCCTCCCCCTTCTCTCATAAAACTAACTTTGTTTTCTTTTTAAAAAATTTATTTTTAAGAAACCTTACCTGGACATAATACTAACTTAAAACATCTTCTTTTAATATGTCTTATAATCCAGTGTCTTAGAAATGACCAAACTCATTTTAGTGATCATAGCTCACTGCAACCTTGACCCCTCAGACTCAAACAGTCCTCCCGCCTCTGCCCCTGAGTAGCTGGGACTACAGGCATGCACCACCACACCCAGCTAATTATTTTATTTTTTGTAGAGATGAGGTCTCACTTTCTTGCCCAGAGTGGTCTTGAACTCCTGGGCCCAAGTGATCCTCCTTCCTTGACCTCCCAAAGTTCTGGAATTAACAGGCATGAGCTACTGTGCCCTGGCCATGATAACCTCTTTTTCAGGTGGTTGCTCCACAGCCTGCTAGGATTCTTCTCCTGAAAATACTTTTTCTTTCTCTACCACATGGCTTGACTGAAAATTTTCCAAACTTTTACACTCTGCTTCCCTTTTGTATATAAGTTCTAACTTTAAGTCATTTCTTTGCTCCCATATTAGATCATAGGCTGTTAGAAGCAGCCAGGCCACATCTTGAATGAGGAAAAACTGATGAGGGTATCCCTAGGGCACACAGTACAGCCAGGTTCTTTGCTAGGATGTGACAGGGGTAACATTTGCTCTAGTTCCCAATAACATCCTCACTTCCATCTGGAACCTCATCAGCCTAGACTTCACTGTTCATATCGCTATCAGCATTTTGTTCACAACCATTTAACCAGTCTCTCAGAAGTTCCAAATTTTTCTTCATCTTCCTGTCTTCTTTGCCCTCCAAACTCTTCCAGCCTTTGCCTTTTACCCAGTTCCAAAGCTACTTCCACATCTTCAGGTATCTTTATAGCAGTGCCCCATGCCTTGGTACCAATTTTGTGTTAGTCCGTTTCTGCAATGCTATAAAGAAATACCTGAGACTGGGTAATTTATAAAGAAAACAAGTGTATTTTGGCTTACGGTTCTGCAGGCTGTACAGGAAGCGTGGCTCTAGCATCTGCTTCTGGGGAGGGCCTCAGGAGGCTTACAATCATGACGGAAGGCAAGGGGGAAGCAGGTTTCACATGGCAAGAAGGAAACTGTTTTGAAGCTTTAAGATTTAAAGACTGGCTTGGCAGAGTGGGTCACACCTGTAATCCTAGCACTTTGGGAGGCTGAGGTGGGCAGATCACTTGAGCTCAGGAGGTTAAGACCAACCTGGCCAACATGGCGGAATCCGGTCTCTACTAAAAATACAAAAATTAGCCAGGCATGGTGGTGCACTCCTGAGGTCCTAGCTACCTGGGAGGGTGAGGTGGGAGGATGGCTTGTGCCAGAGAGGTCAAGGCTGCAGTGAGCTGTGATCATGCAGCCTGGGCCAAGAGAGTGAGACTCTGTTTAAAAAAAAAAAGAGAGAGAGAGAGAAAAAGAAAAAGAAAAAAAGATTTAACAACTGCCCTGCTGGTTTCAGATTTGCACAGAGCCTACTGCCCCTTTCTTTTGGCTGATTTCTCCCTTTTGGAATAGGAGGTATACCAAATGTCTGTACTACCACTGTATCTTGGGAGTAAATAACTCATTTCTGATCTCACAGGATCACAGGTGGAAGAAACTCATCTCCAGATGAGACTTTGTAGACTTCAGACTTGGGACTTTTGAGTTAATGCTGGAATGAGTTAAGACTTGGGGAACTATTGTGAAGGCATGACTGTATTTTGAAATGTGGGGATATGAGATTTAGGGGGCCAGGGTTGGAATGATATGGTTTGGATGTTTGTCCCCTCCCAATCTCATGTTGAAACGTGATTCCCAACATTGGAGGTAGGGCCTGGTGGGAAGAGACTGGGACATGGGGGAGGATCCCTCTCAAATGGTTTAGCATCATCCCCTTGGTGACAAGTCAGTTCTTGCTCAGTTAGTTCATATGAGATTTGGTTGTGTAAAGAAGCCTGGGACCTCTTCCTTCTCTCGCTTTCGCTCCTGCTCTCACCATGTGGTACACTGGCTCCCTTTCTCTTCCACCATGACTGTAAGCTTCCTGAGGCCCTCATCAGAAGCAGATGCTGGAGCCATGCTTTTACAACCTGCAGAACTGTGAGCCAATTAAGTGTCTCTTCCCCAGCCTCAGGTATTTCTTTATAGCAATGCAAGAATGGACTAACGCAGAAGTTGTGTTGACTATTGTTGTGTTGGTGTGAAGGCAGAGGAAAAACAGGGTTTGAGTTTTTTCCAAACAACTCCCAAAGAAGGAATAAGTAAAACATCTAACTCATAATCATGAGGTATAAAATTCAAGAGGACTTAGCCAATAATTTTTCAGGCATTTTAAACTATATGGTTCAAATCAAGGTCCCATTCATAGTTAAGAATTTCAGAATGCTCTTCTTATGAACAAGAATGACTAAGCAATATATAAACAAATTTCTACTTCATTGTTTGAAACTCAACTGGCAAAATATCAAACTCGGGTATATAAAAAAACAACTGCCTCCAGGTAATTATCTATGACCAAAAGAGCTTCCAAAGAGCTAATATATAATCCTTCTTAAATAGCTGTGTTTGCCCATTTATAAGGATTACTCACATTTCTATTTTCTTTGACAAAGTTAAGTAGCATAGTGTCAAATGGAAAAACAAATTATGTTTCTATTGCAAGTATACAGACACCAAAAATGGAGACTTGGATACCTTCAACTGGTGGAAGCTGAGACAGCTGTGGAGTTTGTGTGTGTGCACATACAGTAGGGTTTGTTTGTTTTTATAACTTTTAAACACCGAAAAACAAATTCACAAAAGTATTTATTTATGATCCAATTTTTACCAGAAGCCATTAAAGGTATATGCCAGGACTGTATAAAGTAAATCACTAATTTCTATGAAGAAGTGATTTGGTTCCAAGTCTATGAACATGCTGCTCTTTGCCCTGTGTCACAATTTAGAGTTAATCTTAAAAGAGTCCAATCTGGTTCTTAAACCATCTCCTAGGAACTCCAGTTAGTATATGCCCAATCACTATTTGAAGGAACCAAATCTCCAGTTTCTCTTTGAATACACCAAAATCACAAAGATGGTATGACAACTTTTCTGGTTTCACTTCCAACCTTCTCCAACAAACCAAAGCTGGTCTATGAACAAGCCCAAAATACTGGCAACAATAAATGGGTATGAGCATGTGTATATGTCTGAATGAGGGAGTAAGAAAGTGTGTGTGTGTGTGTGTGTGTGTGTGTGTGACAGAGAGAGAGACAGAGACAGAGACAGAGAGAGGAGAGAGACTGACAGAGAGGAGAAAGAGAGAGAAACATAGGCATGTAGGTATAGGAGGGCAAAAAACACAACAAATGTGAAACGAATTCCTTCTCAGTTTATACTCATAATTATGCTCTTCTTATATAAAACCTCTTGCATGTATTTTGTCATAAGATTGCTAAGAGCATAAAGATTGCTATATTTTATCTATGGTCTCATGTGGCTTTGTCACTACCATTCAATAAACAGAGTGGTGAGGTTCAGGATACCATGACAGAAAGGACCAAGTTTTTCCTTTAACAGAAGAATAAGCTGGGCATGGTGGCTCACGCCTGTAATCCCAGCACTTTGGGAGGCTCAGATGGGAGAACTGCTTGAGCCCAGGAGTTTGAGACTAGCCTGGGAAACATGGAGAGACCTTGTGTCTACGAAAACTCCCCACAAAATTAGCCAGGCGCTGTGGCGCATGCCTGTAGTCCCAGCTACTTGGGAGGCTGAGGTATGAGGATCACTTGAGCCCAGGAAGTCGAGGATGCAATAAGCCATGATTACGCCACTGCACTCCAGGGTGTCAGAGTAAGACCTTGTCTCAAAACAAACAAACAAGCAAAAAATACAGGAAGAGGTAAATGTTTTTTAAAGGAGGGCTGCCAAAGCAATCACTCAATCCTCACTGCATCTGTGGTTCTTAACTTTCACAAAGGACATGAAACCATCTGAGAATCTAAGAAAATGGAACTTCGTACTAAAGAAAGGCATGTGGTCCATAAAAACTTAAATATAGTTTTGGGATTTCAGACTCTATACCCCAAGAATCCCCGTGCTATATATTACAATGTGACATCCTGAGGAATAATGTGTCTATAATTCTGTCCCATATTGGTTTATATCCCCAAAGTCATATATATTCCACAAATGTCTGATAATTTTGTCCTAATACTATATTTAAAATGTCTAAGTAGAATGAATATTTAACACCAAATTAAGAAAAATTCAGATGCTCTGCATTCTGATCCAACTAGTCATAGTTCTCAAATTAACTTACATCCCCCATTACATTGTAATGACTATTCTTTCTTTGAGACTCTTGGCAGAAGTATCCCAAAGAAAAGGAATTACACCTTTAACTCTGCTCTCTCCTTGATAAAAATGCATTAAACTTGGAATGTTGCATTTTCCAAAAAGTGACAAAACCACTTGAAAAGATACATATTTTGCTTGAAAATGTAAACTATTAATACAAATATATGAAAGCAAATGAGTAATCTATATAAATGTCTGGATAGAAATATACAGAATCATAATGTTTTAGGTTTGAGATCTGGTCAACCCTTCTTATTTTAGGAATAACAGCGTGAAAATGGTTAAGAGGATTACTGCAGTTCTCCAAATTACACCCCTCCTTTTACTTACAGAAATTGGTGAGGAGATTTTATTATGTCTTCAACCAAAAACAAAGTTTAAGTCTAAAATCCTGTCTTTTAATGAGGGTTGATAACTATGTGTGTGTTCAAAGTAGATAAAGGATACAAAGCAACTACTTCAAGTTATTCAAAAAGCTCAACCAGAAAAAACAACTAATAATTGCATGTTTTCCCCCCAAATGTACTCAGCTAGATCTTTCTAAGCTCTTAATTCACGTTTCACACTCAATTGATGTTATGCAAAGTATGTTTTTAAACATGATCCAGGAATATCAAATACAGCTTTACACAACTCATATAATTCCCATATTTATGTAAGTATACAAATAAGCAACATGAACTGCCAGATGCTTTGGGAAGAAAATTACCAGAAAAAAATTTGTTGTTAAGTCTTCCACATCTAATTGAAACATCAGTTCCAGTGAGTATTTGGAGAAGCACCAATCCAACAGCTTAACATAAATCAAGAACTAAAATGACTCAAGTATGACATTTTTCTTCCTCAAGCAAAAATACACTGAAACAGTTTCCACTTCCAGTCAAGACGGAGTAATAGGGACCAGATTTACTGTCCTACCTTAAAGTACCAGAAAGCTGAACAAAACATACAAAGTTTCAGACACTCAACAATAGTTATAAGAAAAGGAAGGCAAAGGAGGTGACTCCAACAACTGCCCCAGCTTACTGCCGAGTTTCCAGACTATGGCACAGGGAGGGGATGCCCAAACAGCTCGGGAAGTCGCCCTGAGCAGCTGAGATGGGAGTGAGAATTTAGGGAGGCCACACTGGCTGAATTCACAGCAGGAGTACCTGAGAAGAGAGTGCTGCAGACCAGCAGGGGCTCCCTCAAATTTTCAGCTGGCACTGAACAGCACATGCGTATGAGAAAACTATCCAAATCCCGGAGAAAAAACATTGAAAAGGAATAGGTAAAAAAAAAAAAAAAATTAGCAGAGCTAATTACAGATTACTCCTATCTATAATCCCAGTGACTCCAGAAGCAGAGGGGAAGGACTGCTTGAGCCCACCAGGAGACCAGCCTGGGCAACACAGTGAGAAAAAAATAAAAATAAATAAATAAATAAAAATAAGTTCCATGTATTAAAAATTTTTTAAGGATTAGCCAGGCATGGTGGTATATGCATGTAGTCGCAGCTACTTGGGAAGCTGAGGTGGGAGGATTGCCTGAGCCTGGGAGGTTGAGGCTGTAGTGAGCTATGATCGCACCACTGTTCTCTGGCCTGGGTAACAGAGTGAGACCCCGTCTAAAAAAAGAAAAAAAATTCCCAAAGCTAACACAAAAAAACAGAATAGTTTTCACATAAGCCAGAGTGGGAAAACCTCAAAATACACAGGGTACATATAAATACTCAGGGTGAAATGCCTCAATAATGGGGCAAAATCAGTCCATTAATATATATATATTTTTTAAGAAAGGCAAACCATAGACTAAGAGAATATATTCCTATAGAGCATAAATCTGACAAAGGACTTGTACCTAGACAACACACACACACACACACACACACACACACACACACACAAACAGTAATAAAGATAACCCAATTAAAAAGCACACAAAATAAAGACTTCACCAAACTAGATATATAGATGTAAATAAGCACATGAAAAGATGCTCAGTATCACTAATCATTATGAAAATGCAAACTAAAACCACAACAAAGTACTACTACACACCCATTAGAATGGTTAAAATTAAAAAGACCTGCCATATGAAGCGTTGGCAGGATGTGGAACAACTGAAACTCTCATACATTGGTGGGAAAAGTTTGGCAGTTTCTTAAAAAGTGAAAAAGACGGCCGGGCACGGTGGCTCATGCCTGTAATCCCAGCACTTTGGGAGGCTGAGGTGGGTGGATTATCTGAGGTCAGGAGTTCGAGACCAGTCTGGCCAACATGATGAAACCCCATCTCTACTAAAAATACAAAAATTATCTGGGCGTGGTGGCACATGCCTGTAATCCCAGCTTCTTGGGAGGCTGAGCCAGGAGAACTGCTTGAGCCCACGAGACAGAGGCTGAAGTGAGCCAAGATCGTGCCGCTGCACTCTAGCCTGGCCAACAGAGTAAGACTCTGTCTCAAAAAAAAAAAAGTGAAAAATACACCTACTTAAGACTCAACCATTCCATCTAATTAGGTAGGTTCCCAAGAAATCAAATCATAACATACAAAGATCACAAATATTCAGAAGCATTATTTGCAATAGCCTTAAAACTGTGAATAACCAAATGTTCATCAAAAGGTGAACAAATGGTGGTGGATCTATGTAACAGAATACTACTTGGTCTTAAAAAGGAATGAACTATTAGATTCATCAGCAACACAGATGAATCTTACAATCACTATGTTGAGTGAAAGAAGCCCAACAAAAAAAAATTCACTATGATTCCATTATATAAAATCCTAGAAAATACAACTTAATGTATAGTGACAGAAAGTGTATCAGTGTTACCTGAAAATGGGGGTAGAAAGTGAATTAGAAAGGGTCACAAAGAAACTTGGATGTGATGGATATTTTATCTTGATTATGGTGATGGTTTCATGGGCGTATATATATATGTAAAAACTGACCAAATTGTACACTTTAAATATGTACAGTTTACATGAATTATACCTCAATCGAGTTATTAAAAAACACATCAAAACAATTACTAAGAGCTGATATGCTGAGATTAGTGAAAGAAAAGTCTTTGGTAGCCTACTTCAAAGACTCCTCATAAAGCCTTTACCAAACCCCAAAGAGTTCAAATTAATTCTCTCTCAGTAATTTTGTTTTTATCTGTTTTAGTGCTATTATAAGTGTTCTCTAAACTTTGAGTTTGGAGACAATTTCAATGCATTCATCTTTGTATATACCCTCTGTTGCCAGCCAAATAACCTGAACATAGTGGGTTATCAAAGATAACCTGGAAAACGCTGTATATTTATTTCAATAGATTTGTCCAAATATTCTTGAAAAATAACAATAGACTTTACTTGTCTATGTTCTAATTAAGGAGAGAGATGTTTAAGTGTAAACCTCAGAATACATGGAACTTATTTAAAATTAACACAAATAACTAAAGCAGAAATAGGAACAATCTTAATTTATTTATTTATTTATTTAGAGACAGGGTCTTGCTCTGTTGCCCAAGCTGGAGTACAGTGGCATGATCACGGCTCACCCTAGACTCGAGCTCCCTGGCTCAGGTGATCCTCCCACCTCAGCCTCGTGAGTAGCTGGGACTACAGGCACATGCCACCACGCCTGGCTAATTTTTTTTTTCTTTTGTAGAGGTAGGGATTACCCCTGTTGCCCACGCTGGTCTCAAACTCCTGGGCTCAAGCGATCCTCCTGCCTTGGCCTCCCAAAGTGCTGGGATTACAGGTCTGAGCCACCACGCCAGGCCAGGAAAATTTTTAAATCAGCATCTAGATGACAGGTAAAGTATACTGTTTTTCTCTGGCATAGATAACACCCTAACAGCTTATTTCCCAACACTGTCTAACTCAAACCATCAAATTAACTTGGGCATTTTACATTTTCATTCCCACATAGGCCTTTGCTCAATACTCTTCTTCCTTGATGTCTTCCTTATTCTTCTCTAGCCAAATTTTGCCTGGAATGATTGTCATGATGGTATTAATAACAATTAATAAAATACTTAATTGTGTAAAGCATAGTAGTAAAAGATAAATGTGTCTTTACATGTATTTGTGTGGTACACAGACATACATGAACACAGAACTCCACTCAACCTTCTCAACACCTTGAAACATGAGTATTACCTGAATTTTAAAGATGACAAAATTTTGGTTAGGAAACGCTGAACAAGGATTTGAGTTTTAATAATCCTATGCCAATGCAAATTCCATTACACTACAGTGTCAATGATTAAGGCTCACCTTACATCTTACATCCACACAGAAGCCATTTCCAACTACCATGAACTGCAGAGATGACTTACTTTCCCAAGCATCCTTTCGCTTTTGACTAAATTACTTTCTTAAGACATCTTCCTTACTAGACTGAGAGCCCCTTGGATGTAGCGGGTATAACTTCTTATCCATGTTTATGTATTCCCAATGCCTAGCATTGTGACCACACATTGTATGTGCTCAAAAACTGCTTGCTGAATTGAAATGAACTGAGCCTTTAGTTATGGAGCCATGAAATAATTTCCTAACCTCTTAGGTGGTAGAAGCATTTCTTCCATAGAATCTCTGACACAGTTATCCAGATTCAACTAGCATATTTCTAAAATAGGACACTTACTACTTCACAAAACAGCCTATTCTACTTATTTAACAGTTATTAAAAAGTTGTGGGGTTTTGTGTGTGTGAGGTTTCTTTTTTTAAAATAGTAACTGAAACAAGATTTGCCTTCCGGTTCTACTGTTGGGGTCAGCACAGAGTAGGTATACTCTCCAACTATGACAAGAATAGATATGACAACAGATTTAAGAGTGATTCTTACAAAACTGGATACAATTCAACAAGAATAGTTTTAAAAAAAAATGTACAAAGGTAAAATAATTGTGCAGAAATAATGAATAACTACTTAGTAGACCTACAATCTAGTGATAGTCAAAAAGTGTCTATTCAAAAGGCAGCTGGACATTTGAATATGAATTCAGAGTACAGCCAGGCTAGTTATATAAACTTTTACTTATTAATATTTAGCCAGTATGTGGCCGGGCACTGTGGCTCACCCCTGTAATCCTGTAATCCCAGCACTGTGGGAGGCCAAGGCAGGCAGACCACCTGAGGTTAGGAGTTCAAGACCAGCCTGGCCAACATGGCGAAACCCTGTCTCTCTACTAAAAATATAAAAATTAGCTGGGCATGGTGGCAGGTGCCTGTAATCCCAGCTACTTGGGAGGCTGAGGCATGAGAATCACTTGAACCTGGGAGGTAGAGGTTGCAGTGAGCCGAGACGATGTCACTGCACTCCAGCCTGGGGGATAGAGCGAGACTCTGTCTCCAAAAAAAAAAAAAAAAAAAAAAAAAAATATTTAGCCAGTATCTTTCAACACTACAGAGATTCCTAGCACTGAAAAGATTCCTGATACCCCTGGCTAAACTCCATGGAACTGTGACTTCAAAAAGTTGGCAAAAACACCTAGAATTGGCGTACATTTCTAAGAACTTTAAAGCAGCAAGTTTCCCCTGTTACAATGGGCTAATTGACCAAATAACTAAAATCACTTGGTGTCACTACACATTTATCTCAATGCTGCCATCTTACGTTAAAATATGGGACTACACAGCTTTAAAAAGCCATACCTTATAGACTATGAAATCTGAAAATATCAATGATTTGAAACCCAACAAAAAGGTAGAAAAAAAAGGTTAACACTGAGAGTTGAGGTATTTAGTAACAGTAAAAAATATTTTATAGTAATTAACTTAAAATGGAAGATCTCGAGGCAAGTAATTATAGACCCAAAATAAATCTTTGAGAAAACATGAAGTAACTTGTTGAAATCCTCGAATCTAAAAAGATTATATTAACAGATATATGGGGAAGGAGACAGTAAAATAAAATCTGGAGATACTTCATTTCTTCAGTGAATTCAATCTGCTTTTCTAATCACAGCTGCTTAAATAGAAATATCTGCTTAAATAGAAATATCTGCTTAAATTTGCTGGTTTTAACTTTAATCCCATTACTATAGTGATGGTGCAAAAAGGAAAATAAAAATCAAGTTCCTAATAAAATGCAAGGAGCTGAATTTCAAGGGCCGGTTATATTTAACTGAAAATTTAACAATTTGCAATCTTCCATTTTTTCCATGAAGTAAAACCATGCTATCAAAATTATGTTGAAAAAAAAATTCAGTGGCACTGAAGAATGTCCCTGATTTAATGTTAATATTAAAAAAAACCAATCTGTATACATACTAACATTCTAACAAGGGGTAGGGGTGGGATGGAGAAAGCAAAAATAGCCTGGGAACTTGGGAAAGTGAAAGTCATTTTGTCAGAAAATATGGATGTCAAAATACTCACTTATAAACTCTAATTCCAAATTTAAAAAAAGGATTTTAAGTCATGTACAAAAAAAAAAAAGGCTAATGTTTTGATAGAAGAGATCAGGAAAAACACAAAGATAAACATTCTATTAAAAGCTTATTATTCTACCACACTGGTGCCTGACTGTCAATGTGTGGAGAAAAGCAGTAAGTAGGAACTCTCTGTACTTTCTACTCAATTTTGCTGTGAACCTAAAATTACTTTTAAAAGTCCATTAGTTAAAAACAAACAAACAAAAAACAACTTACTTGCTCCTTGCTGAGCATATATTGATTTTCTTTAGAAGTGCTTCTCACAGCACTAGTCAATCTGTTTTTAGGAGAGAAACCTGACAGAAGTCTCAAACCGTACTTTATTCTCCTTTCCTATTTTAAGGTTTAATCTTAATTCAGCAAAATAAGCATCTTTTAAAATCCTCATCAGTCTTTTAGTACAGAGATACCCAGTCCCAGGAAACCATCTGCCAGTTTCTTCATCATCGCTCACTGCTGAGCAGTGTTTGTTGATTCCTTCTTCAGTTAGAACAAGAGGCGGTGGCCAAAACGATTTCCTGTCTTAAAGGGTCAAACTCTCTCTTTCAACTTCTTACATTGTTTCACAATCTTACATAAACAGTTATATCATTATACATGGCTTTTATAAAATGTTTTTATTTTCTCTAGACTGTAAGAGCCACAGTGCAATGACTTTGCCTCAGTCATCACTGCCTGACATATAAACATAGTAGCTGCTTTGTTGAATGAATTTTCCTTTCAAGCCACAAGGCATAATCATCCAAAAGAAGTAAAAATGTTTTCCATCTTGCAATGAAAAGGAAGTTAGTTTAATAAATGACGCCATAAAGTTTGAAAAGAATAAGTCTCACAAAGCTCTTGTTTTCATTATTTGGACAATTGCCAAGGGGGGCAGGGGTGGTAGAGGGGAAGGGTGTGTGAATATCTGAAAAAGACATTAAGGACATGTTTGGGCCAGAGAACTATCACATATAATACCAATACCATGTCTGTATATCATATTATACTAAGTGCTTTAATAAGTATTATCTCACTTGATTATCACAATTCCATGAGTCAGGTGAGGTATAGGTTGAGTATTCCTTATCCAAAATGTTCGTGACCATAAATCTTTTGGATTTCAAATTTTTTCAGATTTTGAAATATTTTCATATATATAATCTTGGGGATGGGACCCAAGTCTAGACATGAAATTCATTTATGTTCCATATACACCTTACATACATAGCATGAAGGTAGTTTTATACGATATTTTAAATAATTTTAAAAGTTTCAACTACAACCCATCACAGGAGGTCAGGTGTGGAATTTTTGACTTGCTGCATCACATCCGCACTCAAAAAGTTTTGGAGTTTGGAGTATTTTGAATTTTCACATTAGGGCTAGGCATTCTTCATTCCTCTTTTCCAAAGTAAGGAATCTGCAGCATCCATAAAGCAGGACCAGGAGTCAAACCAAATCCAAGCAACTGCCTACTATGTCATATTGCCTCTACACCACAGAACTGCACCTGCTACTACAAGCCATGCATGAAAATTCACCTCATTAGCTTCTCAGTTTATTAAAATACCATCAGCTACTAGCTACCAAAAATGGAGTGCTCAATTAGTTGCATTTTTCCCTCTGTAATTTATTTGTAGGTGAGATAAGCAAATTATAAGAAAATAAGCAAGATGATGAGGAGGAGGTTCCAAGAACAGCTCCAGTCTACAGCTCCCAGTGTGAGCCATGCAGAAGACAGGTGATTTCTGCATTTCCAACTGAGGTAGCGGGTTCATCCCACTAGGGCTTGTCAGACAGTGGGTGTAGCCCACGGAGCATGAGACAAAGCAGGACGGGGCATCGCCTCACCCGGGAAGCGCACGGGGTCAGGGAATTCCCTTTCTTAGCCAAAGGAAGCCATGACAGACAGTACCTGGAAAATCAGGACACTCCCATCCTAATACTGCACTTTTCCAATGGTCTTAGCAAACGGCACACCAGGAGATTATATCCTGCGCCTGGCTCGGAGGGTCCCATGCCCACAGAGCCTCGCTCACTGCTAGCACAGCAGCCTGAAATCGAATTGCAAGGCAGCAGTGAGGCTAGGGGAAGGGC
This sequence comes from Homo sapiens, assembly GCF_000001405.40. Lineage (NCBI taxonomy): Eukaryota > Metazoa > Chordata > Mammalia > Primates > Hominidae > Homo > Homo sapiens. Next base: position 87,530,907 of record NC_000010.11, on the reverse strand, counting down.
GTCCACCATTGCTGAGGCTTGGGTAGGTAAACAAAGCCGCCAGGAAGCTTGAACTGTGTGGAGCCCACTGCAACTCAAGGAGGCCTGCCTGCCTCTGTAGACTCCACCTCTGGGGGCAGGGCGTAGCTGAACAAAATGCAGCAGAAACTTCTGCAGACTTAAACGTCCCTGTCTGACAGCTTTGAAGAGAGTACTGGTTCTCCCAGCACGGAGTCTGAGATCTGAGAACGGACAGACTGCCTCCTCAAGAGGGTCCTTGACCCCCAAGTAGCCTAACTGGGGGGGCACCTCCCAGTAGGGGCCGACTGACAACCCATCCCCTCTGAGACGAAGCTTCCAGAGGAAGGATCAGGCAGCAACATTTGCCATTCTGCAATATTTGCTGTTCTGCAGCCTCCGCTGGTGATACCCAGGCAAACAGGGTCTGGAGTGGACCTCCAGCAAACTCCAGCAGACCTGAAGCTGAGGGTCCTGACTGTTAGAAGGAAAACTAACAAACAGAAAGGACATCCACACCAAAACCCCATCTGTACATCACCATCATCAAAGACCAAAGGTAGATGAAACCACAAAGATGGGGAGAAACCAGAACAGAAAAGCTGAAGATTCTAAAAATCAGAGCACCTCTTCTCCTCCAAAGAAACACAGATCCTCACCAGCAATGGAACAAAGCTGGACGGAGAATGACTTTGACGAGTTGAGAGAAGAAGGCTTCAGACGATTGGTAATAACAAACTTCTGTGAGCTAAAGGAGGATGTTCGAACCCATCACGAAGAAGCTAAAAACCTTGAAAAAAGATTAGACGAATGGTTAACTAGAATAAACAGCCTAGAGAAGACCTTAAATGACCTGATGGAGCTGAAAACCATGGCACGAGAACTAAGTGATGCATGCACAAGCTTCAGTAGCCGATTCAATCAAGTGCAAGAAAGGGTATCAGTGATTGAAGATCAAATGAATGAAATGAAGCGAGAAGAGAAGTTTAGAGAAAAAAGAACAAAAAGAAATGAACAAAGCCTCCAAGAAATATGGGACTATGTGAAAAGACCAAATCTACGTCTGACTGGTGTACCTGAAAGTGATGGGGAGAATGGAACCAAGTTGGAAAACACTATTCAGGATGTTATCCAGGAGAACTTCCCCAACCTAGCAAGGCAGGCCAACACTCAAATTCAGGAAATACAGAGAACGCCACAAAGATACTCCTTGAGAAGAGCAACTCCAAGACACATAATTGTCAGATTCACTAAAGTTGAAATGAAGGAAAAAATGTTAAGGGCAGCCAGAGAGAAAGGTCGGGTTACCCACAAAGGGAAGCCCATCAGACTAACAGTGGATCTCTTGGCAGAAACTCTACAAGCCAGAAGAGAGTGGGGGCCAATATTCTACCTTCTTAAAGAATTTTCAACCCAGAATTTCATATCCAGCCAAACTAAGCTTCATAAGTGAAGGAGAAATAAAATCCTTTACAGACAAGCAAATGCTGAAAGATTTTGTCACCACCAGGCCTGCCTTACAAGAGCTCCTGAAGGAAGCACTAAACATGGAAAGGAACAACCGGTACCAGCCACTGCAAAAACAAGCCAAATTGTAAAGACCATCGAGGCTAGGAAGAAACTGCATCAACTAATTAGCAAAAAACCAGCTAACATCATAATGACACGATCAAATTCACACATAACAATATTAACCTTAAATGTAAATGGGCTAAATGCTCCAATTAAAAGACACAGACTGGCAAATTGGATAAAGAGTCAAGACCCATCAGTGTGCTGTATTCAGGAGACACAACTCATGTGCAGAGACACACATAGGCTCAAAATAAAGGGATGGTGGAAGATCTACCAAGCAAATGGAAAACAAAAAAAAGCAGGGGTTGCAATCCTAGTCTCTGATAAAACAGACTTTACACCAGCAAAGATCAAAAGAGACAAAGAAGGCCATTACATAACGGTAGAGGGATCAATTCAACAAGAAGAGCTAACTATCCCAAATATATATGCACCCAATACACGAGCACCCAGATTCATAAAGCAAGTCCTTAGAGACCTACAAAGAGACTTAGACTCCCACACAATAATAACGGGAGACTTTAACACCCCACTGTCAACATCAGACAGATCAACGAAACAGAAAGTTAACAAGGATATCCAGGAATTGAACTCAGCTCTGCACCAAGCAGACCTAATAGACATCTACAGAACTCTCCACCCCAAATCAACAGAATATACATTCTTCTCAGCACCACATCACACTTATTCCAAAATTGACCACATAGTTGGAAGTAAAGCACTCCTCAGCAAATGTAAAAGAATAGAAATTATAACAAACTGTCTCTCAGACCACAGTGCAATCAAACTAGAACTCAGGATTAAGAAACTCACTCAAAACCGCTCAACTACATGGAAACTGAACAAACTGCTCCTGAATGACTACTGGGTACATAACGAAATGAAGGCAGAAATAAAGATGTTCTTTGAAACCAATGAGAACAAAGACACAACATACCAGAATCTCTGGGACACATTTAAAGCAGGGTGTACAGGGAAATTTATAGCACTAAATGCCCACAAGAGAAAGCAGGAAAGATCTAAAATTGACACCCTAACATCACAATTAAAAGAACTAGAGAAACAAGAGCAAACACATTCAAAAGCTAGCAGAAGGCAAGATATAGCTAAGATCAGAGCAGAACTGAAGGAGATAGAGACACAAAAAACCCTTCAAAAAAAATCAGTGAATCTAGGAGGTGGGTTTTTGAAAAGATCAACAAAACTGATAGACTGCTAGCAAGACTAATAAAGAAGAAAAGAAAGAAGAATCAAATAGACACAATAAAAAATGATAAAGGGGATATCACCACCAATCCCACAGAAATATAACTATCATCAGAGAATAGTATAAACATCTCTACGCAAACAAACTAGAAAATCTAGAAGAAATGGACAAATTCCTGGACACATACACCCTCCCAAGACTAAACCAGGAAGAAGGTGAATCCCTGAATAGACCAATAGCAGGCTCTGAAATTGAGGCAATAATTAATAGCCTACCAACCAAAAAAAGTCCAGGACCAGACGGATTCACAGCCAAATTCTACAAGAGGTACAAAGACGAGCTGGTACCATTCCTTCTGAAACTATTCCAGTTAAAAGAAAAAGAGGGAATCCTCCCTAACTCATTTTATGAGGCCAGCATCATCCTGAAAGCCTGGCAGAGACACAACAAAAAAAAAGAATTTTAGACCAATATCCCTGATGAGCTTATCCACCATGATCAGGTTGGCTTCATCCCTGGGATGCAAGGCTGGTTCAATATATGCAAATCAATAAATCAGTAATCCATCATATAAACAGAACCAAAGGAAAAAACCACATGATTATCTCAATAGATGCAGAAAAGGGCTTTGACAAAATTCAACAGCCCTTCATGCTAAAAACTCTCAATAAACTAGGTATTGATGGGACATATCTCAAAATAATAAAAGCTATTTATGACAAACCCACAACCAATATCATACTGAATGGGCAAAAACTGGAAGCATTCCCTTTGAAAACTGGCACAAGACAGGGATGCCTTCTCTCACCACTCCTACTCAACATAGAGCCAAATCATGAGTGAACTCCCATTCACAATTGTAGGGATGTGAAGGACCTCTTCAAGGAGAACTACAAACCACTGCTCAAGGAAATAAAACAGAACACAAACAAATGGAAGAACATTCCATGCTCATGGATAGGAAGAATCAATATAGTGAAAATGGTCATACTGCCCAAGGTAATGTATAGATTCAATGCCATCCTCATTAAGCTACCAATGACTTTTTTCACAGAATTGGAAAAAACTACTTTAAAGTTCGCATGGAACCAAAAAAGAGCCCACATTGCCAAGACAATCCTAAGCCAAAAGAACAAAGCTGGAGGCATCATGCTACCTGACTTCAAACTACACTACAAGTCTACAGTAACCAAAACAGCATGGTACTGGTACCAAAACAAAGATATAGACCAATGGAACAGAACAGAGCCCTCAGAAATAATACCACACATCTACAACCATCTGATCTTTGACAAATCTGACAAAAACAGGAAATGGGGAAAGGATTCCCTATTTAATAAATGGTGCTGGGAAAACTGGCTAGCCATATGTAGAAAGCTGAAACTGGATCCCTTCCTCACACCTTATACAAAAATTAATTCAAGATGGGTTAAAGACTTAAAAGTTAGACTTAAAACCATAAAAACCCTAGAAGAAAACCTAGGCAGTACTATTCAGGACATAGGCATGGGCAAGGACTTCATGATTAAAACACCAAAAGCAATGGCAACAAAAGCCAAAATTGACAAATGGGATCTAATTAAACTAAAGAGCTTCTGCACGGCAAAAGAACCTACCATCAGAGTGAACAGGCAACCTACAGAATGGGAGAAAATTTTTACAATCTACCCATCTGACAAAGGGCTAATATCCAGAATCTACAAAGAACTTAAACAAATTTACAAGAAAAAATCAAACAACCCCATCAAAAAGTGGGTGGATATGAACAGACACTTCTCAAAACAAGACATTTATGCAGCCAACAGACACATGAAAAAATGCTCATCATCACTGGCCATCAGAGAAATGCAAATCAAAACCACAATGAGATACCATCTCACACCAGTCAGAATGGCAATCATTAAAAAGTCAGGAAACAACAGGTGCTGGAGAGGATGTGAGAACACTTTTACACTGTTGGTTGGACTGTAAACTAGTTCAACCATTGTGGAAGACAGTGTGGTGATTCCTCAAGGATCTAGAACTAGAAATACCATTTCACCCAGCCATCCCATTACTGGGTATATACCCAAAGGATTATAAATCATGCTGCTATAAAGATACATGCACATGTATGTTTATTGCGGCACTATTCACAATAGCAAAGACTTGGAACCAACCCACATGTCCATCAATGATAGACTGGATTAAGAAAATGTGGCACTTATACACCATGGAATACTATGCAGCCATAAAAAAGGATGAGTTCATGTCCTTTGTAGGCACATGGATGAAGCTGGAAACCATCATTCTGAGCAAACTATCGCAAGGACAGAAAACCAAGCACTGCATGTTTTCACTCATAGGTGGGAACTGAACAATGAGAGCACTTGACACAGCATGGGGGACATCACACACCTGTCATGGCGTGGGCCTGTCGTGGGGTAGGGGGAGGGGGAAAGGATAGCATTAGGAGATATACCTAACGTAAATGACGAGTTAATGGGTGCAGCACACCAGCATGGCACATGTATACATATGTAACAAACCTGCACATTGTGCACATGTACCCTAGAACTTGAAGTATAACTTTAAAAAAGGTGAAAAAAAGAAAATAAGATGAACAAAAACATGATATAGTAATACAAAGGAATATTATTCAGCCATGAAAAAGAATGATACATGCTACTGCTACATGTACAACATGGAAGAACCTTAAAAATATGATGCTAAATCATAAAAGCCTGTCACAAAGAACCACATATTATATCATTCCATTTATATGAAATGTCCAGAATATGCCAATGCATGCAGACAGAAAATATATTAGTGGTTGCCAGGGGATGGCAGAGTGAGGGTGAATGGAGAGTGACTGCTAAGGCACAGCATATAGAGTTTCTTTTTGAGGCGATGAAAATGTTCTAAAGTTGCAGTAGTGATGGTTGTGCAACTCTGTGAATATACTAAAACACTGAATTGTGCACTTTAAGTAGGTAAACTGTATATGATACAGGTATTACCTCATCTTGTGCTTTGATTTATTGTGCTTTGTAGATACTGCATTTTGCCACAAATGGAAGGTTTGTGGCAATCCTGAGTTAAGCAAGGCCATCTGTGTAATTTTTCCAACAGCACGTGCTCATTTTGTGTATCACATTTTAGTAATGTATCACATTTTAGTAATGTATCACATTTTAGTAATACACAATATTTCAAAGTTTTTTTAATTATTACTATGATTATTATATCTGTTATGGTGATCTGTGATCAGTGATCTTTTATGTTACTTTTGTAATTGTTTTGGGGTGCCATGAACCCCACCCATATAAGATGGTAAATTTAACTGATAAATGTTGTATATGTTCTGACTGCTCCACCGACCAGCCATTCTCCATCCTCTTTCCTCTCCTCCAGTCTCCCTATTCCCTGAGATATAATACTGAAATTACGTCAATTAATAATCCTACAATGGCCTCTAAGTGTTCAAATGAAAGCAAGACTCACACATCTTTCACTTTAACTCAAAAGCTAGATATGATTAAGCTTAGTGAGGAAGGCATGTCCTAAGCTGAAACAGGCCAAAAACTAGGTCTCTTGGGTCAGTTAGCCAAGTTATGAATGAAAAGGAAAAGTTCTTGGAGGAAATTAAAAGTGCTACTCCAGTGAACACATGGATGATAAGAAAGTGGAAGAATGTTATTGCTGATAGGAAGAAAGTTTCAGTGCTCTGGTAGAAGATCCAAACAGCTGCAACATTCCCCTTAGCCAAAGCCTAATCCACAGCAAGGCTCTAACTCTCCTCAATTCTAGAAAAGCTAAGAGGTAAGGAAGCTGCAAAAGAAAAGTTAGAAGCTGGCAGAGGTTAGCTCATGGGGTTTAAGGAAAAAAGCTATCTCCATAACACAAAAATGTAAGTTGAAGCAGCAAGTCCTGATGTAGAAACTGCAAGTGATCCAGAAGATCTAGCTAAGATAACTGAAGGTCACTATACTAAGCAGATTTTCAATGTAGACAAAACAGCCTTCTTTTGGAAGAAGATACCATCTAGAACATCAATGTCTGGCTTCAAAGGATAGGATGACTCTCTTGTTAGCAGATAACGCAGCTCCTGACTGTAAGTTGAAGCCAATACTCACTGGTCATTCCAAAAATTCTAGGGCCCGTAAGAATTATGCTAAATCTATTCTGCCTGTGCTCTATAAATAGAACAACAAAGCCTGGATGACAGCACATCTATTTTTACACAGCATGGCTTACTGGCTCTTTGAAGCCTACTATTGAGACCTCCTGCTCAGAAAGAAAGATTCCTTTCAAAATATTACTGCTCATTGACAATACACTTGGTCATCCAAGAGCTCTGATGGAGATGTACAAGGAAATTAATGTTGTTTTCATGTCTGCTAAAACAAAATCTATTCTGCATCCCATAGATCAAGTAGTAATTTTGATTTCATTATAAATTTTAAGAAATTAATTAAGAAATAAATTTAAGAAATATTTAAGAAATAAATTATTTAAGAAATAAATTTCTTGGGAGGCCGAGGCAGGCGGATCCAAGGTCAGGAGATCGAGACCATCCTGGCTAACAAGGTGAAACCCCATCTCTACTAAAAATACAAAAAAAAAAAAAAATTAGCTGGGTGTGGTGGCAGGTGCCTGTAGTCCCAGCTACTCGGGAGGCTGAGGCAGGAGAATGGCGTGAACCCAGGAGGCGGAGCTTGCAATGAGCCGAGATCACGCCACTGCACTCCAGCCTGGGTGACAGAACGAGACTCTGTCTCAAAAAAAAAAAACAGAAATTTCATATGACAGAGAAATATTATTTATTTAAGAAATAAATGTCATAAGGCTATAGCTGTCATAGACAGTGATGCCTTTAATGGATCTGAGGAATGTAAACTGGAAACCTCCCAGAAAGGTTTCACCACTCTAGATGCCATTAAGAATATTTGTAATTCATGGGAGGAGGTCAAAATATCAACATTACCAGGAGTTTGGAAGAGGCTGATTCCAACCCTCATGGATGATAGGAAGTAGCTGCAGATGTGGTGGAAATAGCAAGAAAATTACAAGTGGTGCCCAAAGATGTGACTGAATTACTGCAATATCATGATCAAACTTGAACACCTGAGGAGTTGCTTCTTATGGATGAACAAAGTGGTTTCTTGAGATGAAATCTACGCCTGGTGAAGATACTATGAATATTGTTGAAATGACAACAAAGGATTGTGACAGTGACAAAGCAGTGACAGGCTTTGAGAGGATTGACTCCAATTTTAAAATATGTTCTACTGTGGGTAAAATGTTATTAAACGGCATCATGTGTTACAGAGACATCTTTCATGAAAGAAAGAGTCAACTGATGCAGCAAACCTCATTGATATTTTCTTTTACAATAAATTGCCACAGCCACCCCAGCCTTCAGCAACCACCACTCTCATCAGTCAGCAGCCTCAACACCTGAGGCAAAACCCTTCACCTGCAAAAAGATTACAACTCTCTGAAGGCTCAGATGATCATGGGCATTTCCTAGTAATAAAGCATTTTTAAATTAAGGTATGTATGTATTGTTTTTTAAGACAAAATGCTATTGCACACTTATTATAGTATAAACATAACTTTTATATGCACCGGGAAACCAAAAAAATTGTGTGACTCCCTTCATTGTGATATTCACTTTTTTGCAGTGGTCTGGAATTGAACTTGCACTATCTTTGAGACATGCCTACATATGAATTATTTCTCAAACTGTTTTAAAAAATAATGACCCTATGACACTGTAAAATCCTTAATTAAAAAAATTCAATTATTTTCCAATATATTGCGCATCAATGCAGGGAAGTGATCTAATAATTTTAAAACATTTTCAGTAATTATGTCATAAGCATTTTGGTGTTGCCTTGTAAAAAAAAACTTTACTAATTCAGAAAAATGGAGTCTTCTTTAAAAAAAATTTTTCCACTTTTACCAAAAAATTATTTCATTCCGTTTTTTTTTACACTTTTGTTAAATACTCAGATTAAGTTTTACTGAAGCATAACTACCATGAAATTCATCAGTTTTAATTAAAGAGTTAGATATCTTAACAAATGTATACAGCTGTCTGTGTAATCACCACAATCCAGTTTGGGAAAACTTCTACCACCTACAAAGTTCTCTGTGCTCAGCTGGGTGCAGTGGCTCATGCCTGTAATCCCAACACTTTGGGAGACCAACGGGAGAGGATTCCTTGAGCCCAGAAGTTTGAAACAAGCCTGGAATTGAGGTTCTATCAAAGGTTCAAGTCATGAAAAATTATTTTTAATTGAAGATTATAAATGTTAACAAAAGCTTTTTCTCTTTCAAAACAAAAACATTTTGCACATTCATAGCAGGAGCCACATAGAGTTCATAATTACACTAATTATAACAGCAAAAGATAGGAACTATCTAAATGCCCACTGACAAGAGTAGATGGTATATTCACATTATTGAATATTGTACTACAGTGAAAATGAACTACAGCTATATGCAATAATATGTTGAATATTAAAAACATAAAGTTGAGGGGGGAAACAAAGCAAGTCCCAAAAGACAATAAGCAGTATGATTCCAAGAAAAACTAAATATATTCTTTGGGCACCAATACATTCATAATATAAACTGTTTTAAAGAGGCGAAGGAATGACCAATACAAAATTCCAAAGAATAGTTTCTGGAGGAAAGGGAAGGGCAAGAGGAGGCAGGAAAATGGAATAGTTGAGGAACACATAAGTAAACAAATGCAATTTATTATGAATATTCTAGTTCTTGGGTAGAGTGGAAGGTTCGTATGTTTTATAATTTACATATATGTTATCGAATTCTTTTGTATCACATTATATTAAAATTTTTTTAAAACACAAGCAAAAACTATTTTTTAAAATTACTCATTATAAAAAAATTTCCAGAAGTTTAGTAGTAACTCAAAATGTACTTCACATTTTTTAGAAAGTTCTTACCTTTGTTTCTGTTCAACTGCTTTGTCCAAGTGCTGAAAGATATCCTGAAACAAGGTGCAGCTGGATCGACTGTTAATAGTATACCCATATCCTCTTTTCCAATATTGTTTCAGATCATTTAAATATTCTAATACCTAAAAAAATTCAAAAATAATTTCTAATATATTTTCAAAAATATAACAAGATTCCCTGATTTAATAATGATTCTCTAAGAAATGGTTACAATGTTTAATTACCATTCTGCACAAAATATAGTATTTGTCCTTTCCAGCATTTAAGAGTTGGTCCCTAAGGTTCATACCACAGAGAGATTTATGCTGCATCACAAATTTGGATTGGGGGAATGTAGATGCTGGTGTGCAAGAGCAAGCCAGTAAGTGCTCACAGCCAATCATCCAAGGTCAGGACAGCTCAAGAGAGTGGAGTAAGGACATGTGCTCACCTCTCCTTTCTTCTAACATTATATTAAGATGATATTATATTAATATTCTTCTTTATTCTTTCTTCTAAATGTCAAGGATACATTTAGAAGAAAGAATAAAGAAGAAGAATATTCATTAAAGCACAGAAAGATACCATAGGTGGATGAGAAATGTATAAGAATTTTGAGAAGGTAGAAGTCAAATAGAAAATGAGTTACTTTGGTTCATGTATCTGTTTGGTGAAAAAATAATAATAAAAGTGTACCAAGGATATGGGGAAATGGGTACTGTTGGAAGGAATGTATATTGGTATAGACATTCTAGAGGGCAAATTGGCAAAATCCATGAAAACACACATACCCTATGACCCATTTAATTCCATTTCTTATAAAGTGATATTCACAGAGGAACACCAGGGAGAATGTACAAGAATGACTTATAGTAGCACTGCTTATAGAAGCCAAAAAATCCCCAGAAACAACTAAATTCCAATAGTAGGTAGATGGTTAAATAAACTATGGTATACACATACTTCAGAATACTTTGCAGTTATCAAAAAGTTCTATATTATAGATTTCCATGTACTGACATGGAAAAATCTCCAAGACACAATGTTGAATAAGAACCCATTAAAAATAATACATACCCTATAATACCATTTATTACCAACACACACACACACACACACACTATACCTTTTATATTTCTAAGAATGATACAGATTATAAAAGTATAGAAAACGGTTTGAAACCTACCTATCACTGATTACAGTTATTAACCTCTGCTGAAAGGTCTGGAACCGGGAGCTGGTAATTAAGTAGCCTTTATCTGAGGGTTAAATTTTCCACTTACATATCATTTGATCATTTGCTCATGTAGAAGTGGAGAACTGAAATCTCTATCTAGAACTAAAACCTGTAGCTAAAACCACAACTAGGGGACTAAAATATGTAACCCAAAAGAGGTTCAAGATGACTACAATAGTCACAAACCTTTCTTCCCGAAAGAGCTCCTAGAGAAACTAAGTGCATGTCATAGTAAGTTTTAAGAGCAGGGGTGGGTCAGTGCCATATATAAAAACAAAACAAAAAATACATTAAAGGGGTGAGGAGGAGCTACTTGCTACACTAGCATTGCTGCCTACAATCTAGACTAGCACAGCACAATGGCAACTTGTGTCCCTTCCAAAGGTAGCAGTGTAGATATTTATTAATGAAGAAAAGGAGAACAGCTGAGGGAAAAAGGATGAATAAACGGGTTATAAATTGAAGGAAATGACATATTACATGAACGCCTTGAACGGGGCTCAGAGCAAAAGGTGACGCTGTCTCTTAGCTCAAGTATGACAGATGCATGAAAGGGTGAAGCCATAAATTTGCCAAGACCACTCCTGGTTTTGGAACCTGACAGGATTGAAAGGAAGCTGGCAAACCTGAGTGGCCTTGCCCTGGAAGACATTCATACAGATGATGGACTGGATTATTAATGATTGTATATATTCTTTTGATGTAAGGTATCCCTCTTCGAAAACCAGGGGCTGACCTGTGGTATTATGATATGTATATATTGGCTTTCGTCCACACTTCCTGGTTTGTAACTCCCATATCCCTTGTTGTAGTCTTTTGGTATAATGCTGGGTGTGTTAGGCCTCCAGGGCAGGCCTCAGGAAACAGAATCTCTCTCCTGCCTCCCTTTCACCTGTGCGGAGGCAGAACTCTAATCTTCCTGCCTTTCTGGGGGTCTTAAGATCCTGCCCTGAAAGGGTCCTGCCTCATATCCTGGGGGGAAGGAATACTTCCATAAAAACCCAAGAGGACTGGGTTTAGAGAGCTTACAGATAGCTGAACATGTGGAGCTTCCTGGAGGGTGGCATGCCCAGGGAGGACATGGAAGCTCCACGCCCCTTCCCCCATATCTCGCCCTACTCATCTCTTCATCTGTATCCTTTGTAACATCCTTTATAATAAACCAGCAAAAGTGTTTCCTTGAGTTCTGTGAGCTGCTACAGCAAATTAACTGAACCCAAAGAAGAGGTCATGGGAACGCCAACTTGAAGCCAGCTGAACAGAAGAGTACCGATGGGGCACTTGGGGACTGAGCCCTCAACCTGTGGGATCTAATACTACCTCCAGGTAGACAATGTCAAATCTGAACTGGAGGACACCCAGCTGGTGTCTCCTGCTTGGCGTGCAGGGGAAAGGCTCCCACACATTTGGTCACAGAAGTCTTCTGTGTTGATGATTGTGATGGTGGTGTGAGAGTAAAGGAAAAACACGGCTTGAGAGAGTCTGTCCTTACACAAAGGCAATGAAATCAAGAAGTTAACAAAGAGACGTAAACACTAAGAAATTTAAAAAGGAATTAGATAATAGTCTGTTCAATCTATTCAAATAATAAAATCTACTATTAGAAATAAAAAGGAGGCAACTGGAGATTTAAAAAATTCTCACATGCTTACCACTAAAACTTTATATTTAAAAAAAAAAAAGGGCCGGGTGCGGTGGCTCACGCCTGTAATCCCAGCACTTTGGGAGGCTGAGACAGGCGGATTGCGAGGTCAGGAGATCGAGACCATCCTGGCTAACAGGGTGAAACCCCGTCTCTACTAAAAACACAAAAAATTAGCCGGGTGTGGTGGCGGGTGCCTGTAATCCCAGCTGCTCGGGAGGCTGAGGCAGCAGAATGGCTTGAACCCGGGAGGTGGAGCTTGCAGTGAGCCGAGATCACGCCTCTGTACTCCAGCCTGGGTGACAGAGCAAGACTCTGTCTCAAAAAAAAAAAAAAAAGGCCAGGTGCAGTGGCTCACACCTGTAATCCCAACAGTTTGGGAGGCTGAGGCAAGTGGCTCCCTTGAGGTCAAGAGTTCAAGACCAGCCTGGCCAACATGGCAAAACCCCGTCTCTACTAAAAATACAAAAATTAGCCAGGTGTGGTGGCGGATGCCTGTGGTCCCAGCTACTCAGGAGGCTGAAGCATGAGAATCGATAATTCTACCAGACATACACCTTCAGAAACAGGTATACCTGTACCCCAATAAACATATACAATAATGTTCATAGCAACAAGGTTCATAATAGCCCCAAACTAAAAACAATGTCTACTGAAAAGATAATGAATAAACTGTAAAATATTCATATAATGGAATATTATACAGTAATGAAAATTAAAAATTGTAGCTATATGCAACCTCATAAATCTTTTTTCATTTTTAAAACTTTATTAAATTGTAATTTACATACACATGATTTAAATATACAGGCTGATGACTTTCGACAAATATAAACAACTGTATAACCTGCCCCCACCATGATAATACAATGACTTAATCGCCCCCAAGAAGTTACCGCTTGCCCCTTTGCTTCAATCTCCTCTAATACTCTGCTACAGGTACATGTTTTACGGAATCCTGAGAAATGTCTGTGACCTCATAATTCCCAATCCATTTGAGAAGAGGTATATTTTCCTGAAATTTGTAAACCTTTTCACAACACAACAGGTCAAGATCATTTTAAATTCCTCCCAGTTCAAATCCCTGCCTTCTAAGTAGCAATCTATAAATGGGAAGCTTTTTTTTTAACTTGTGTCGTGGGAGTTTGTTGTATGGATTACTTCATTACCCAGTTATTAATCCTAGTGCCCATTAGTTATTTTTCCTGATCCTCTCTCTCTTCCCATCCTCTGCCCTCTGAAAGGCCCCAGTGTATGTTGTTCCCCTCTATCTGTCCATGTGTTCTCACCATTTAGCTCCCAAATAAATCTTAAAAACTTAATGTTGAACAAGAGCTAGATACCAAAAGAAAAAAAACACACGCTGAGTAATTCCATCATTATAAAGTTCAAAAACAGATAAAGCTAAACTGTTTCTTAGGGAAAAAATAAATTAGTAAACAATAAACTACTGTAATAAAGAAAAAATTGAAAGCAAAAATACACAATTACGGAGAAATAATTTCAGAGAAGGAAAACACTTTTTAAAATCAAAAGATATATTTGCTTAATTCAGCAAATAATGGATAACATAAATGACTTTTATAGGTATATTAAATACCAAAACTAATCCCAGGAGAGAGAAAATCTAGATATACTTATTAAAGCAGACACAAATTGCAAAAAAGCTATCCTACAAATTAACTTTCTCCTTTGTGCCCCACTACACCTTTCATGGGCAGTCTGCAACTTATGATGGTTTGACTTAAAATTTTTCAACTTTACAATGGTTCAAAAGCAATACACTTTCAGTGCGCTCCTTGACTTACAACGAGGCTATGTCTGGATAAATCCATTGTAAGTCGTAAATGTACTTCCAACTTAAGATATTCAATCTACCATGGGTTTATCTGGATGCAACCCCACCATAACTTAAGGAGCATCTGAGTATACTTCTATCACTGTATAGACATCCTATTGTCTTGCAATGGTTTAGTTACATGTCTTTCATTCCTTGTGGCATTCTTTGAGGACAATATCTATCTTATGTTAGTGTCTTTAGTTCCAAGCAAGTGCTTGTCACAGAACGGAAACTCAAAAAATGCTTGCTGAAGGTACACAAAGTCCAGGATATCTAATTATCTCAGAATTTCATAAATGTCTATTAATTTTTAATTGTAAAAAACATTCTTGGCCAGGTGCGGTGGCTCACACCTGTAAACCCAGCACTTTGGGAGGGTGAGGCGGGCGGATCACTTGAGTTCAGGAGTTCGAGACCAGCCTGGCCAACATGGTGAAACCCCGTCTCTACTAAAAATACAAACATTAGCCGGGCATGATGGCACATGCCTGTAATCCCAGCTACTGGGGAGGCTGAGGCAGGAGGACTGCTTGAACGCAAGAGGCAGAGGTTGCAGTGAGCTGAGATTGGGCCACTGCACTCCAGCCTGGGCGACAGAGGAAGACTCTGTCTCAAAAAAAAAAAAAAAAAAAAAAAATTCTTAACAAAGAACTTTAAACACATAAAAAATATAAAACAGTAGTATAACGAACCTCTGTGTACTCATCCAACTTCAACAATAATCAACATTCAACCAATCCCATTTCAGCTTTGCTCCTACCACCACCACTGTATTATTTTGAAGCAAATCCCAGGTATCATTTTATTTCACCTGTAAATACTTCAGCATATAAACCTATTTCACAGTGAAAGTCCTAAGCAGGGATAAATTATTTTCTAACAAATTGCTGAAGTAAATAATAGAAAATACCTCAATCAAAAGACAACCTTAATTTTTAAAAGAAGAATTTAATTTCTTTTCACATGTAAAAAGAAACTATTATTCAATTAATTTAATAAACATGTATTTAAATTTTCAAGTCACAGTCATTTAAATTAGAAGTTCTTTTTTTTCCTTTTTTCCTTTTTTTTCTGAGACAGAGTCTTGCTTTGTTGCCCAGGCTGGAATGCAGTGGCACAATCTTGGCTCACTGCAACCTCCACCTCCTGGGTTCAAGCGATTCTCCTGCTTCAGCCTCCCGAGTAGCTGGGATCACAGGTGTGCACCACCACGCTTGGCTAATTTTTTAATTTTTAGTATGGACGGGGTTTCACCACATTGGCCAGGCTGGTCTCGAACTCCTAACCTCAGGTGATCCACCCGCCTTGGCCGCCCAAAGTGCTGGGATTACAGGCATGAACCACCACGCCCGGCCAAGAAGTTCTTTATTTACAAGGAAAAAAAGTACCTCTACAATAAAGAAATCAGGCAGGCACCATTGTAATCTAATGATCAAACATCACTGGCCAGGAGTGGTGGCTGATGCCTGTAATACCAGCACTTTGGGGGGCCCAGGCGGGCAGATCACCTAAGGTCAGGAGTTCAAGATCAGCCTGGCTAACATGGTGAAACCCCATCTCTACTAAAAATAAAAAAATTACCTGGGCATGGTAGCACACGCCTGTAATCCCAGCTACTGGAGAGGCTGAGGCAGGAAAATCACTTGAATCCGGGAGGCAGAGGTTTCAGTTAGCTGAGATTGCGCCACTGCACTCCAGCCTGGGCAACAGAGAGAGACACTGTCTCAAAAAAATAGTAATAATAATCAATGACATGACAAGCAGACATCAGTCCTTCTGATATGATGCACTGAGAAGGATATATCACTTACGTAGTGCTCTTGTCAAAAATGTTTAATCTGAATCTAATCCTGAGTAAAAAATATCAGACACATCCAAAAACATTCTGCAAAAAACCTGGCCTAGACTCTTCCAAAACGCCAATGTACGAAGGACAAAAGAAAGGCTGGAGCACTCTTTCAGGTTAAACGAGACTAAAAGAAATGCAACCAAATGCAATGAATGATCCCTTATTAGATCCTGAATCTTATAAAACAAAGCAAACAAAAAACAGCTATAAAAGACTTAAGACGTGAAAATTTGAAAGTTGACTGTACATTAGAAAATATTGTGATATATATGATATACATAAATATGAACTATAGTATTCTGTATTGTGGTTATACAAAAGAATGTTCTTGTCCTAGATGCATGCCCAAGTATTTAAGGGTGAAGCATCCTGATGGTGGGGCGGGGAAAAAAAGATTATATACACACGGTAGACAGAAAAAACAGCTCCCATATGTCCACATTCTAATCCCTGACATCCTATGAATATGTTACCTTACCTGATAAAAGGGAATCTGCCAGTGTGATTAACTTATGAATCTCGAGATGGAGAGATAAATCCTGGACTATCTAGGTGGGCCCAGTGTAATCAACAAGTATCCTTACGAGAGGCAGGCAGGAAGGACAGTTAGAGCTGGAGATGTACCCGTCAGAAGTCTGAGTGATAGGAAATGCAAGCAGCCTCTGGAGATCAGAAAAAGCAGGGTACAGATGTTCTCCTAAAGCCCCCTGAAAGAATACGGCTCTATTGTATACGGCTCTATTGATACCTTGATTTCAGCCCTGTAAGATTCAATTTGAACTTCTGACCTCCAGAACCATAAGATAATAAACTTATATTGTTTTAAGCCAGTAAGTTTGTGGTAACTTGTTAGAGCACCAATAGGAAACTAATATAGTAGAGAGAGTGATAAAGGAAATGTGGCAAAAAAGGTTAACTGGTAAATATAGGTGAAGGACATACAAGTGTTCACTGTAAAACACAGAACACAATTTCCCATGAAAACTGTTATAAAATAGTTGCTAGGACTTTGGAAACCCATTTATTCTCTCTGAGCTTTGGCTTCCCATAAAAAGAATCTGGGATTATATCAGCTCTATAATCCCTTCCAAGCAGTAAAATTTGATGATGGGTTAAAAGTAGGTCTGTAAATGGGATGATTTAGAAATCAAATCATCATGGAAAAAATGTTTCCAGAGTTTTTTGAACCTAAACTATTTACAAGTAGGTGGGACCAATTTGAACCTTTAATCTCTCTTTATTTAAGGAAAATTAGGAGTTAGTCACAAAACAGTTTATGTTCCCTAACTACTCATTTTCTGAAAAGCTGCTTCAAGTAACCAAATGCAAACAAGCAAGCCAAAAAAAATTTTTTTAAAAAAGCAAAGAAACTGCAAAAATAATACTTACCTTTGCATCATCTATGTCAAAAACATCACACCAAGGAGATTTAACACCTTTAATTGCCAGGTCAAATGAACAGGTGAAAAAGGCTACTTGAATTAAATCTGGGGGGAAAAAAAGGTAAAATTTTGTGGGTCATTATTTTCTGCAATTTTTCAAAGGCTAAATATCTGTAGAATGCCATGTGTGGTACAGCTCAATAAAATGGACATCTTCAGTTTGGGGAAGAAATAATTTAGTTTCTTCCTGGCTATCAAAGAATTAAGAGACTTTCTCTGTGTAATTTAAGGGTGCAGAACTGAACTATCAGGAAGAAACCATGAGGAAGTATAAATTTCAGCCCAATAAAACTAAGAAATTTTCTGTAATTGGTAACTTTTTTCTGCCTTTTTTTTTTGGACAGGGTCTTGCTCTGTTGTCCAGGCTAGAGTGCAGTGGTGATCACAGCTCACTGCAAACTCGGATTCCTGGGCTCAAGCAATCCTCCTGCCTCAGGCAATTACTTGTTAAGAGCATATTTGCCTAGCAATATCAACAAAAAGTATAACCCAAGGACTTGCTATATAAAACTTAATATGATTTTGTTAATTTTAGAGGGTTCAAGGAGGGGGGCTAAGGTTATAAAGGTTTTAGTACCCGACTTGAAAATTACAAATAACAAAGTACATTTATTAAACAGTTTAAATTATACAATTCATTTTATAACTAAGAAGCAGCAGTAAGTACAGAAAAGATATAAAAGGAGAGAGAAGACTACAGAGATGGAGAGGGAAGGAAGTGCAAGGTAAGTGAGGGGGAAGGAGAAAGGAGAGACAGCCAAGGAGGAGAAGCACAAAAAGGGAAAAATCACACACTAAAGAGAGAAATGTTGGTACCAACATGAGTTTTTCAAACTTAGCTGCTCAAATGATTTCGGAAGTGGATTTCAGAATAAGTTATCTAGCATTTTTACACTGCTAATTTGCTGATTACATTACTTTGAGATACATATGGGTATTGAAGAGAAGTGATAAGGGAATGAATGCTTGGGCTATAAAAAGTAGCCTTTGTTAGTAAATAAAAACACTGCTGCTCTCTAGTCAATGAGAAGTGGGTGATATTTAATGCTAGAGAGAAAAAAAAGTCAACTGCAGTGGTTGCCTCCATTGCTTTGATTTTTCTTTAATTTTACTGCCTTTCCTGTTTTCCTAAAGGAAAATGGGACCAAAAATCAACTGGCGTTACATGCATTTTGCACTAGTTCTGAGTTTAAAGAATTCCTGAGGCAGTATATAATACAAAAAAAATGTATTTCATTGGGAATATACAGAAAAGCCATTCAAAACTTTGCTTACGTAAAGAAAAGGTTTTATAATCTCAATACCTGATACAATATAGTGGCTTGTAAGTACCAGGTACATTTGATGAAAGGACCTGGCTTATTTACACTCGAAGCTCTAATTCTGAAACTATGAAGTCAGTCCACATGGTATATTCTTAAACCGGAAGAGAGTTTACCAGAAAAAAAAAATTCACCAAAAAACTCTTCAGAGTACAGGGAGAAAAAGCATCAGATGAAGACAGGCTGAGACCTGACTTTACCACTAATTATCCTGGGTAAGCTCTCTTTAGTGTCAATTTCCCCACTTACAAAGTAAAGAGGTTAGATACACTATCTTATTTAAGTTATAGCTCTGACTTATCTGTTATGACCCTTCTGATTTCGTGGTCAATCTTTCAGAACCTCAAAAATATTTCAGGTGGATAAGAAATTTAAATATTTAAAAAACGAAATAGACCCTTTCCCTCCACTCCCCTGAGAAAAAAATAAAACAACAAAAAAGGAAGACAATAGGAAAACATAATAATCTTGCGGTGGGAGGATTCCTAGACAAAATACAACACTCAGAAGCCATAATGAAGAGACAGATATGGCTATGTAAAAGATGTAAACTTCTGTGCAATCAAAGGCACCATCAACAAACCTAAGAGATAAGCAAGAAATTAAAATATTAGCAACATACAACAAGCAAAGGGCGAATCCTTTGTCAGGCAGAATTAAAAGATATAATTAATATATCCATAATACATAAAAGGTATTTGTGATTCATAAGAAAACAAAAATAACCCAATAGAAAATGAACAAAATTATGAAGGGGTAATTTTTAGAAGAAATGCAAATGGCTACTAAACATGAAAATATGTTCACTTTCAGAAGTAATCAAAGAACTGCAAATTAAAGCTAGATACTATTTTTCATTAATCAAATTGGCGAAAATTAAAATGACTAATAATATCTACTGTTGGAAGATATGGGAAAATGAACATTCTCATATACTGTGGATATAAATTTTTACTACACCTTCAGAGAACAATTTAAAAATATATGTCAAGATGTAAAATATTCATGTGTGTTAACCCAGCAATTTCACCTATTTATCTTTAAAAAACATTTTTAGAAATCTATTTATTTATTTGGAGACCAAGTTATAAGACTGGCTAACTTTTGTGTCTTTGATAGAGGCAGGGTTTCACCATGTTGCCAAGGCTGGTCTTGAACTCCTGGGCTCCAGTGATCCACCCACCTTGGCCTCCCAAAGTGCTGGGATTATAGGTTATGCCACGGCACTCGGCCTCACCTATTTTATCTTACAAATAAACTCTCAAGTGTAAAAAACAGACTACAAGAATGTTCACTGTAGCATTACCTGAAAGAGTTAAAAACTAAGAAAAACTTCAGTAGGAAAATGGTTTCTATAAAAAGAATTTGGACTGCATTAGCAACAGCCTCTTACAGCAGTAAAATTCGATGATGGGTTAAACAATTTAACTAGCATTGACTTACAAATCGAGTCATTCATATGTCCCATGAAATAACACAGGATTTAAAAGAATGAGACAGTTCTATATTTGTCTAGAGACAAATATATTGTTAAGTAAAAATAGTAAGTTACTGAAAATACATATAGCATCACCCCCTATGTAAACAAAAGGGTATTTAAATAGCAAAAGTATTTATTGCGCAATTACTGCGCCAGGTACTAAATGCTTTGTATGAATTAATCTTATATAATCTTTGCAATAATCCTATAAGACAAGAATAATTCCCATGTTCATTTTACAGAAAAGGAAACTGTGGCATAAAGACATTAATAAACTTGTCAAAAATCATAGTTATTCAATAGGATAGTAGAGTCAAGATTCAAATGCAAATAGTCCAATTCCAGAATCCATTATTTTAACCACTATACTTAATACTGCTTCCAAAAAGAAGTTGCTGTCAGTTACTTCATCAGTAAAATACATAATTCTTGCCCATTCAGAGACTAAACATAGTTTTAAAAAATCTTTTTCAACAACCTAACTGCCTACTAACAGAATAATGGCTAGATATTGGTATAGATGTAGAATGAAATACATACATTTAAAATGTAGGACTAGAATTGCAAACATTACATCAAAAACAAAAAGTTGCATAAAAATAGAATTTTGGACTGGTATAAACTTTGATACCACTCTTAAAAGTTTTAAAATCTGCAAAACAATATCCCATTTATGTATAAAACTGGCATGGGATAATATAAATGCTCAATTCATGACAACAATTACCACTGGTGAGAAAGGAAGAAGAATGGGATCCAGGAAAGGGACCAGTAGACCTCAATTTATTTAAGGCAAGTAACTGAAGCACAAAGTTAAAATTTAGTAAAACCAAGTTGTGGGTATAGGGATGTTCACCACATTAGCCTTTTTTGTTATCTTCGTGTTTGAATTATTTCCCAATAAAGTAAATAATTTTTAAAGCTCCACAGGCGATGCCAATGTACTGCCAGTTTGGAGAGAGAGAAAAAATTCAATTTCAAATGCTAGTCTAGGCATCTTCTTTTTGATCCTTATAAAGCATCCAGGCCCTGTGACTGATAAATTCTAATCTATTTTTTCCCCAACATCTACTTCCAGTCTTTTGGAAATTAATTCAGAGTATAATGTAATCTACAATCTTTGCATGTATCTTTGTCAACATCTACCCTATGGAACATAAATTCCTAGAAAACAGAAAAAAATCTTATTTTCTTAATCTCCCATTGCTAGGTGACCATGTGCCATGGTTTCCCACCTGCTTTCCTGGCAAAATTATTAATAGTGTTCCCTTTCACTTTCGAAAGTGTCCCACCAGTTTGGATGGTAAGTTGCATAGTCAGCCCATCCACTGCAATAACTTATGATAGACATGACTGCTCATCTTCTCAGCATTGCTACATATAACTCAAAAAACATCATAGTACTTTGCTTTTCACTTTCTAAAACTTACCCCTCTTACACATTAACAGGTACTTTTGAACTGCTTCAAAAGCTAAAGAATTTATATGATTTTTCCATTTGTATCACTTTATCAGGGGGAAATTCAGAAAAGATAATTTGTTTTAAAAATAATGCCTACAGTTGAGGCTTTATATTACTCTGCCCTCAAAAAAACTCCAGAATATAACTAGAATCTTGTACAGTAATTTAAATAACACTCAAAGAAGAATATGAATCTAAAAATGGTAAATAGTAAGCACAAGGTATACAATTTTTTTGACCCAGAACATATTATTTTCTTAATGTAGATCAATTATGGGTCTTTAAAAAAGACTGTTTCCTTATGTTTTCATTTTCACAGTTCAAAATTATTTAAACTGTTAAGTTCAAATAAAAGACAACAGACATATTACCTGCATTTAAATCATTTACTGGCACTTGCAAAGTAGCTGCAACTTTTTTTAAAATGTTCTGCATTTCTGGTCCAGTTTTGAAGGCTTCCACGTGATAAAGAGCTGTAGCATTTTTTTCTACTTCAGTTAAAAACTTCTCACAGTGATCAAAAAATCTCATTAGTTTATCATTAACTGTTGGAGGTCCAAACTCCATATCTGAAAGAGAAAAAAATTTATATGTATTTGTAAATCACTGACATAAATGACAGTTTCAAATTATTGAAAATGTTAAGTGTGAAAAAGGAACACTAACATCTTACTAATCCGCACAGCTGAAATAAGCACATATTGGTCAGGAAACTCTTGGGGTAAAATTATTCCCCATTTATAATGGCTGTAACGCATGAGAATAGCTAGAAAAGGCTAAAGAAATAGAGATTGAAGATTAAATGTGTTGTAGAGATGCTACGCAATGAAATTGCATCATACATTAATAAGTACTGTTTCTGTCAGGCACGGAAAACTTTAGAAAGCAAACTAAAAATCAGCAAAGTTTCTACTTACAAGGTGAGAGAGAATTCAACATATGGAATCTATTTTTTCACTCTAAGCCAAAGTCTAAACAGAGTATTTTATTTTCTCAATTAACCTTCCCAACTCTGTATTACTTTACAAAGATTCTGCTTTGGACAAAAACTACTGACAGCAGCACAAAACGCACTGATGTTTTGGGTCTCCTGTGCTTCACTGTGCTGGGCCTGTGAATTGGTTTATCTTTTAACTGAAGCCCCAGATAACTTTCTATATAAAATTTAATAAATTACATTATGCCCCCAATTGGGCAACAAATATGTATTGGAGAAGCATTCATAATCATGCTTCAACTACTGGTGTGCCCTTTACGTTTTTTTCAGTCATATTCAAAACACACATTTTTCAATCATTTCTCCAACAATTTACCACGAAAAGAACACCAAGTATATCATTTTTGTACATAAAATATGAGAAAATTGAATATAGTTTTATCTGGGCTTTGGATGTGTATGCAAAAAAAATCAGTATGTATGTTTGTTTCTCTTGAAATGGATAATTCTGCCCACTTTGTCAACTGGATTGCAATTCTTAAGAAAATATCTTGACTAGGAAAATAAGCGAACTTTGTCACCTTTTTTCTGTGTACACTAAAATATAATTTCCCAAGTGCATCTGGGTATTTTATCCTTGTTACTATCTAATTATTGCTAGTCTTTAAACAAAAACAAAGGCATTGTTCTGTTTCTACAAAACTACAAATCTAATTCAGCAGACTCCCTCAAAAGACCAGATGTACATAATAGGCAAAACTATTGTCTATAGAGAATAATAAAGTGGCTAGGCAAAGGGTTTGCTATCTGACACTGAAAACGGTCAGGAGTGGGCTTATTCTGAACTGTAGTATTTTCATCCCTGGCTCTGTACTGAGAGTCAAATGCCAGTCTTCGCAATGCCATCTGAGAACAAAAATTCACTTGTTCCAGGAAGTCGCTATAGATATTGTGTTATATTAAAATATGTTCTGCTTTCACCATTCTGTTAATTTAACAGATTTATGAGGAATTTTCACTCATGCTAATGGAAAAAGTATATATTTAAAAAAAAACACAGTTCAACAAGTAATTAGACACAAGTCAGCTAACTGAATTACCCACAATAACATGACACAGAATCAGTGGAGAAATCCCTTACAGATGGTTTCACTGTTCAACAGCTACAGAAGAAATTACAAACCAGCCTACTTCTAATTTTTCACTTGGGCTTTGAAGCTAAACAATAATCCTCACTTCAATTCTGGCCTTAAAAGTGATCAAGAAACTATTAATGCTTGCTCATCTCTGTGGTACAAAAATGTTACATGTTTTTATTCTTATTAGGTATGTTATTGGACAAATGGAGGCAGTATAGCATAATGGCTAAGAAAGCAAGCTCTGAATCAGATTTCCTGGGTCCACAGCTAGCTGTATGAAAATGGGCAAATTATTTAATGTGTTCGTGTATCAATTTCCTCATCTTTGAGATAAGGGGAAAATACTATCAACTCCAGATTGTGGTTGTAAGGATTTTGTAAAATAAATGTGAGGCATACCTGGCATACAATAGGCATGAGGTGTATGCTATCATTATTATTTGTAACTATTACAACATTTTCTAAGAGAAAAAGAACCATTCTAGGAAAACAGAAGACTTGGATACTAGACCTTAGAGAAAGACAATTAAGAAGGCATACTCTTGGGCTCGGGTTCTTCACCTGTGAAATAACGGGGCCTTACTAGATGATTTCTCAAATTTCGAAAAAGTGTAATTAATGGAATAAATGAGTTGTTACTGCTTGTGACCACGGACCACAGCTACAACGATGGGAACGCTACAGTAAAAACATGAACAAAACAGAAGAAAAAAGGAGGACACAAAGGCTTGAGATCAGGTTCCTAAAACAGGGTGTAGGTCTAAAACTGTCATCTGAAAAAGATGATGAGTTTAAAAAAAAAAAAAAAGAAAGAAGGAAAAACTAGTATCGGAAGCAAAGCCCGAGGAAGAAAATTCTAGATTCTGTTTTTTAAAACGTGCGCCCAATTGTGAAACTAGACGCCAGGGAAGGGGGAAGGGATGGGTTGGCGCTCGAAGGGGCAATTCAGTTTGGGAACGGGAGCGCAAAAATTGCGGGAGACCTCGTCTGTCCCCTTTCCTGTTGGATCCCCAACTCTACTAAAGCAGGCAGCGAGTACAAGGTGCTGAATTTACACCTGATGAATTAATAAATGAACATACGTGTAAGGGGAAAAAGAGATAGCCAAGTCTGTAATATCCCTCGACAGGGAGGACGTAGCCCGAGGGATGATGGCTTGGGAAAAGAGGAAAGAGAACTGGGGGGCATCGGAAAAGCCCAGGGTCTGGGGGAGGCGGGAGAGCATCCAGGGCGGGTGGGAGGACCGGGACAGCACACGGGCCGCCCGGGGGGTCACCTGCGACGTCCGGCGGCGGCAAGCCAGGGTGGTAGTGCTGCCACAGCCCCTGCAGGAAGGCGGCGCTGCTATCCATGCAGCGGTGCTTGGAACTGGTGATGAGCCGCAGGCGGCCGTAGTTCTCACGGCTGAAAAGGGCCGGGAAGAGCGAGGCCAGACGCAGCGCCAGCTGTCGCATATCCTGCCGTCCCTTCTCTACTAGCTGCCCGTCCATCCAGTCCGCGTACCACAAAGGCCAGTCGGCCAGCGCTGCACCCAGGTCGCGGCTGCCGGTACTACTAGCCCCGCCATCCCTGGACCCGCGGGCCTGCAGCAACCCGTGCAGCTGCCTCAGCTTGCGGATCTGTTTGACCGTGGGGTAGCGGGTGCCGTGGCGAATGAGGGCGACCAGCTGCACCGGGGTGCAGGTCCCCTCCAGCAGCTCAGGGTCCCGCCACGGAGCCTCGGGGCCCGACAATAGCACGGGGTTGACATCCTCGTAGCGAGTCTTGGTGCCGAAATAGGGGCTGAGCGACGAGGCCACCGGGTCCCTCGGCTCTAGAAGAGAGCAGCGCGCAAGCGACGAGAGCAGCGCCGCAGCCAGGGCCGCGGCAGGCGCTACGGAGGTCCGGAGGAGGCAGCCGGGCGCGCGTAGCATCGTCGGGACGGTCAGTGGAGTGCGCCGAGCCAGCTGCAGATGCCCAGCTTCCGGCTCCGGAGGGCAGGGGGCGGGTCTGGAGGGCGCTTCCGGCCGGCGGCCCTCGGGATGCGCTTCGCTGTTCTCTAGGAGGTACCAACCTCTGGCGGTGGGTCTTGCGTCCCGGCGGAAAGCTCCGAGGAGTCCTGTAGACTTGTGGCTCGGGTGGAGCCGGCGGAAAACCCCGAGAAGCTTGAGACAGCCGTGGCTGAGGTGGAGCCGGCGTCGCTGCCCTGGAGCGTGGGCGAGTTTCCTCTTAGCCGGAGCTTCAGGGATTGACTCAAAGACTCCTCCGCTTTTTTAGTTGTTTTGGGTGTGAATACAGCCCGGACTAAACCTTAGTCGCCTAGACTAAACCTTAGCCTCCCAGGCTGCCAAAACAGCACAGCTTTTACAGATGACTCTTACATCACCATCCCTACTCTGTGATACTGTGTTTTTCAAAGTTTAGTGCCTGAACCATCAGCATGAAATCTGCCTGAGACGGTTGTTGAAAATTCACATCGCTGGGCCTTGCGGCAGGATGCCTCTTGAAGCCCAAGGTTTTTGTTTCGTTTTTTTCCATTTGAGTTTGAAAATAAACAGGATACAGTAAAGCAGAGAACTTGGAAAGGGGCTTACATTCTGCAGGAATTTAAGTCCTGAATCTTTGGTATAATCTTGACCTGGACTACCAGAGCTAACGCCGACATCAGTGAGACAGCACCCTAAAAGTTCTGTGCTTGTTGTTCCCGAAGGCTTAGCGAGTAGAGACATAGCAATCTAGAGAATTTGGGTGCATTGAGTCATGGCCCAACAGATTTACTCTATTATTAAGTATGAGCTAATCTGCTTTGCGAAGCAAACATGCTCTGTATTTACCACCACTCCAGATCCATACGTTCCTCCCATGTACTTACTTACATACTCAAATCAAAAGCTGGGTTTTTTAATAGGTTATTGCTCAGAATCTTTGACCCCAAAAATCATAAGTCTGAACAATACCTTGTTTTTTCCCACTTGAACTCCAGTTTATTTGCCAGCTGGGGAAATAATAAGTATTACAGAAGTCGTACGGTGATCCAGATTTAAGGAAATTGGGACCACGTTTTCATTAAGTTAGCTTTTGCTTCAAAGACACTATTACATTGCTCTTTATAAGCCCATCACCATCTTTACTCCTTTTCTCTTTAAGTGTCTCCTTGGTTTAGAGAGGTGTTCCTCTAAGTTTAGGCGTGCCTCTAAATGTTAACCAAGAAGAAACGGGGCCAGCCTATGAATGCTGAAAATTTGGAGACGTTCTGTGCAGGAAACCATCTTTAGGGCAACAGATGTTCTTTTCGATATGCTATTTTGTAGCATGTCAATGCCTGAATATTCATGGTCAGTGATATTTTTGTAGAACTTTGCTCAAATTAGCATTTAGTAAATATCCGCTCCTTCTTAAAATAGACATTCTAACCCGTATGCTCTATAGGCTGAGTCGCCTGATAATATTTCTAAGTGCATTCAGCGAGCATTTGTTCCAGGTTCATCTCACTGTATTTTGCCTAATACATATGCTTACTAATAACTTCTCACACCCAATCTTTTGAGTCCTAGGGGTTACCAAGTGTTCCCAAAGTCATTATTCACTTCTTCCTTATGAAGCAATCTTTAGAGACTCCACTTACAAAATGTATGGCACAGTACACATTTTTATACATGAAATTTGCCCCTAGTTTGATTTTATTTTCCTTATCTAATTCCTCATCAATTAATTTTATCCTGTTTTATACACTTAGGTATATCAGCTCCTAATTATTTTGATGTTATGCCAAGATAACAATGATAAAGTAAAAGTAAGCAATGCCTCCATGTTTTTGGCTAGGAAAAAGCCAAATATAAAGAAGACGAAGAGTGCTTAAGCTTTGGACCCAGACTCTAATTAGCTCTGCTGCTTATTAATTGAGTGACCCAAGTTCTCTGGGCCTTAGTTTTTTTTTTTTATCTGAAAATTGGTAATATTAGAACCTATATCATGGGATTATCATGACAGAGATGATGTATTTAAAATCCATATGATAGGCCGCTATAAATGATATTTTTATCATTACTAATGTTCAGTGTGATTATTCCTGTGCTAAGATGCCTAGCTTTCTAGCAATTACATGGATTACACTTACTCCCACTGAACATTAAAGTGAATGACTTTCACAGGCAACACATGCATCAAAGATCATTTCATAACTTTTCTAATAATAAAAATCCACTCATTTCACTTAAAATGGATATCTTGTTCTTAGAGCACTAAGCAGCCTTTGAAAAAATTTAAAAAGGTCACAGGCCGTGCTCCTCATTTCATGCCAGACCATGTCTGAATTATCTGGGCACTCTGTAAATTGGATGCCCTTTGACATAGGTGCCCACTTGGTCCAATCATGTAGTACAGAGAAGTTTGCATAGTGCGAAACATGGCTATTCCTTTGCAGAGATCATGGGAACATCACCTCCCCTCATAAGAAATTGTGGGTATGGGAGCAATATATTTGGCAAATCTAACACAATACAAGAGGCAGAAAGGAAAATTAATGGTTCAAGGTCCTTGCAGAGATGGGAGAGGACAGAACCAAAAACACAGGTAGAGAATTTGATTTGGGCCAGAAGGAGATGAGACCTTATCTTCTAAGAGAATGTTAGAAGGATGGGTGAACATGGGGATAAATTTGTAGATCTGGCAGGAGAGAGTTCATAGAATTCAAGTCTGATGGCCTCAGTTTCCACAGTAACATAGGAGACAAGTTTGAAAGATGGGGGAATAGGAATTAAGTCTTGAAATGTGAAAATGGTTTGGATTTGCAACTGAGAGAAATGGGAAAGTAATGGGAAAGGATTGACAACTAAGAGGAATGGGAGAAACAAGTAGAAGTTTGTATGGTCAGCTCTGGAGATCCAACTGAGAATGAATTGCTAGTGGTTCTGCAATTTTATTTAGAAGCAAACATTATCTGTTGTATTTTTTCAGAGTGGAAAAGAAAAAAAGTTTAACTTGATGGTCCTACATTAATGGGTCTTGAGTAGAACTTCATTTCTAATCAATCCACTATACGAAAGGATAAGCTCAATTATTTTTGCCAGATTATCCATAGGATTTCAAAAATAGTCATTCAGCTTTTAAGATTGCATGGTGTCAGCCAGGCACAGTGGCTCATGCCTGTAATCTCAGCACTTCGGGAAGCTGAGGTGCGTGGATCACCTGAGGTCAGGAGTTCGAGACCAGCCTGGCCAACATGTTGAAACCCCATCTCTACTAAAAGTACAAAAAAATTAGCTGGGTGTGGTGGTGGACGCCTGTAATACCAGCTACTTGGGAGGCTGAGGCAGGAGAATTGCTTGAACTTGGGAGGTGGAGGTTGCAGTAAGCTGAGATCACGCCATTGCACTCCAGCCTGGGCAACAAGAGTAAAACTCCATCTCAAAAAGAAAAAAAAAGATTACATGGTGTCATATATAGTATTTTAAGTTAACAGCCATCTACTTTACTTTTAAAGAGGTTACTAAGATAGTTTTCTGGGGATGAAACAATAAAGGAAAGGAAACAGCTAAATTCTGTAGGGAAACAGCAAGGCTCTCTATGTAAGCATATACAATACTAAGAACATGGTCTCAGAAGTTAGACTTTCTGGTTTTCAGATTCCAGCTTCATCTCTTATTACCTGTGAAATATTTAAAAAATTAAATTATTTTGCCACCATTCTTTTTCATTGTAAAGTGGGGATAATAATACCTAGCCATGAGACTGTTGAGAGGATTAAACGAAACAGCTTATATAAAGACTTTATATAGTTTCTGCCCCCAAATAAATATCAGTTGCTTTTATTAAGCAGAATTAAAGGGTTTCTTATTATCACGTCTCTCTTAAATAAACTGACAAATAGTTTTTCATAGATATTTATTATCTCATAACTACATTAAGCAACGAACTTTGTGCCTATGCCAGGAAAGTTTGAGCTTTCTTATCTTTCTGCCCTGCTGTTGCATCATTCCTCTTTTAACAGTTGCCAGATGTTGATTTAGTGTTTATTGGCTTTTTGTTGCAGTGGAAGCCAACAGAAGAGGGGTCCATGTGTACAGATAGGCCTGGAGTGATCCATGTTCCAACAGCAGTCCCTTTAACCTCACTTGAATGTGGAGGCTGCACAGGTCACAAGTCTGAAGACTACAAGCTACCTTTGCTTAAAAGGAACCACACCACCGCTGATAGCTAACTGCTAGATTGTTCTCCAGCATATCAGAGCTACATTGAATTGCTTGAGTTGTGCTTCAATTAATGTAGAGATCTTCACTGAATCGCACATAACCATTGAAGTAACCTGCTGTTTACAGTCTCTATCATGCTCTGCCAAGAGAGTTATTTTACAGTGACAAAACTTCTCTTCTGGTGCCCTGACACATCCTAGGACTTTGATGTTGGTAATTCTTTCCCCTCAGCAAATGTTGGTTCTAAATCCACAGAACTACTTGAGAAACTAGATGCAAAATTGTAGTAGGTTTAAACTATCAATACTCTTTTTTTTTTTTTTTTTTTTTTTTGAGACAGAGTCTCTCGCTCTGTCACCCAGGCTGGAGTGCAGTGGCGCGATCTCGGCTCACTGCAAGCTCCGCCTCCCGGATTCACACCATTTGCCTGCCTCAGCCTCCCGAGTAGCTGGGACTACAGGCGCCCACCACCACGCCTGGGTAATTTTTTGTATTTTTTAGTAGAGACGGGGTTTCACCGTGTTAGCCATGATGGTCTCGATCTCCTGACCTCTTGATCTGCCCGCCTCGGCCTCCCAAAGTGCTGGGATTACAGGCGTGAGCCACTGCACCCGGCCTATCAATATTCTTTATATGTTTTGCTATTCCCATTTAAAAGAGGGAAACTGTAGCTATACACTTTCTAGTCATGTTCTTTGGTGATTTTCCTGCACAAACCAACACTGTTGTTCAGAAATATAATTTCCCCTAGAATTACCCTCCATCCAAAACATATTGTTATTCTATCACAGAGATAAATAATGGCTTTCCAAATCCTGGTTAAAAAAACCAAACACTCTCTTCTTCTCTGTATTTTTACAGAACAGGCATAGATGATGGCAATTGTGTTTTACCATCTTTTTTTTTTTTCTGAGATGTTAGTTTTCTAGGATATGGAAATCTTAGGATTCATAAAAAGTGAAACAACTTTTTGAAATGTTAGTTTTCCAAAATTGGACAATCTTTTTGAGCCATTCTATTTTTAGGACTATTGGTTAGCTGACTTTAGAGCCTTTAATGTTTCCTTATTATTTCAAACAATAGAGAACTTTCTTCCCCCCCACGTTTTGAGACAGGGTCTGGCTCTGTCACGCAGGAGGCTGTCTGTAGTGCAGCGGCACAGTCTCAGCTCACTGCAACCTCCGCCTCTTGGGCTCAAGTGATCCTTCCACCTCAGCCTCCTGAGTAGCTGGGACTGTAGGTGCAGGCCACCACATCTGGCTAATTTTAAACAATAGAGAACTTCCAAAACAAAAGTTCTTTATTAATTCTTCAAGAAATCTGTTTTTTACTTAGTCAATTAATGTCCATTTCATGTTGCCTCAATAGCCCATGTATGAATCACTCTTCTTGCAGATTTTGTTCAGTTTTGTTGTATGTAGACCCATCTTTCTTTGATTGAGTTGGTTTCTTTGATTGAGTTGATTTGTCTGTATTATATATCAGTCAGTATTAAAACCCAAACAATACCTAAGCCAAAAAAGCAAGGTAGGCACCTGTGAACTCACACACTTGGTTGCAATTGCTTCAGTAAAAAGGACAGTTTACACTCAAATTGAAGCAACCATTATGTTTCCACAAACAACATTCCTTATTATCCCACCTCACCTTTTCATTCTTCCTATGCTGTCTAATCTGATTCGGTACAAGAGATAAGGCAGGTACTGCTAAATGATAACTTAGATGCAGGGGCCATCATGAAAATATTCATCCCATATCTTACATTAAGCAAACTACTAGCAACTGTTTGTTGAAAAGTATAAATGAATAAATGAAAATAGGACAGATAGGCAGTGTGGGAAGCTAAAATATGGAAGTGTTATTGCTTTGCTTTATGTGGTATAATGATCTGACTTTATCTTCCCAGCTCTCCCAGGAAGTATGCAGAATAATATTTATCTCATATTGTGGATGTGGCAATCAAGACAGAGAGGCTAGATGCTTTACCTAAAGTCATCCAACAAATATTTGGTAGAACCAGTGCTAGAATGCAATAAATGGAAACAGAGTTTATTTTTGTGTTTCTTTTCCTAATACTTGCCCTATTCCTGACAAATGAATAATGGCTTCAGAAGGTGTCACTTGTTGCTAGGGCTAAAAGGATAAATTTTACCTGTAATACCGTACCACTTACTATTAGTTAACGACCCAGTATTTATTCTCTTTTTTTCTTTGGAATCTTTGGAATGTGTAAATATTTGCCTCCCGGGAAGCTCACTTTATCCTCTCCTCAGGAAAAAATCCTGATTTGGTCTGAACCAATCTTGGTAACTATCTTTCTTGCCAGTTTTGTTTTAGGAATGGGCACGCAACTCAGTTCTAGCCAATGAGATATGAGGAGCAGTCTACTGGGGAGTTTCTGGGAAAGTTTGTTTTTCTTGTCCTAATAAGCAAACAAGTAATGGGGTCACTGGATTGGAGATCCTATTGAGTCAAAGGAATATTGAATTTGACACAGTAAAATAGTCTGGAAGGAAAGGAAATGATATTCAGTAAATGAAATGCTGAAAATTGATATTATGAAGGTGGCACAGTAGTTGTTATTGATTAAATGAAACAGTTGAGATTAAGAAAGTTTAGCCAGGACAAGTTGTATAGCACAAATCATTTCAGGTAAGGAAGTTAAAAAAAAAACCCTGAGAGGCTAGGAAGTCCTGGCTCCAAACTTCTGCTCCTGCTGGACTTGAGCCCCACTAGCTTCTCATCTTCCACTAATCTATGCACCCCTCCTTTCCCACTCCTCAAAAGCCGAGCTCACTCAACAACTTTAATTTTATTCAAATAAATTATTTACACAGACATTTTGTTTTTAGTAGATGTTATTAGTGATTAGGAAAAATGAAAGAGATTGACATCTTTCAATTGACAGAGATGCCAATAATTTTAAGTATAATTTTTTAAACACTTTGTTCTTAAAATGAGAAAGAAATGCAAGGAAGGGATCACTACCCTGGGTGTTAGCATGTCCGAATATGATAACTAAACCTGCTGCAATTATCTTGCAACCAGGGAGGAGCTAGCTTGAAAATAAAGCCAACACAGTTAGATGACAAGCAGAAAGTGGAAAGAACCTAAGTCATTGATGATGCTATTCAGCTGATGAATTAAACCTGGAGTGTATGTTCCATGGGCTTCTGTAAGGAATTAAAATATTTTTACTGTTTAAACCAGTGTTTCATTGTTTTCTGCAGAAATCCTAATTGGCATAAAGAAACTATTGACCGATTAACCCCACTGCAACCTCACCTGACCCCTTAGGATGTCCTTTCATGCTTTTCTTGATTTTGTTGAAGTTATGTATTGAGAATAATGGAAAATCACAGAAGGCGATTTTCTGATCCCAACTCCTTAGCTATGACCTTGTGTCTCTAGCTCATGATCATGGTTTATGAAGCACGGGAAGGACTGGGAAAAGTAGAAAGTAGGTAGGTAAGATGAGATGTCTGATGATGGAGGTTATTGGGGTCAGGACAGGTGGGTAGGCAAGGTGAAGTGTGTAAGCTAAGCAGGAAATGCAAATGAAAATCAGAGAGAAGGTACCCCTTCAGAACAGATTCTTAGAAAGCCATTATTAGGAACATATGGGCCACATCTTTGAGGAGAGTTGTGGAATTCACATTACAGTAATGGCATCACTTAGATTCATGCTCTTCTCTCAGGGAGAGATATCAATATTTATAGGATATCAAAGGGTCTTCATCATGTGTCTCAGTCTGTTTTTATTGCTATAAACAAATACCTGAGGCTGGGTAATATATAAGGAAAAGAGGTTTATTTGGCTCACACAATTCTGCAGGCTGTACAAGAAGCATGGCGCCAGCATCTGCTTCTGTTGAGGGCCTCAGGAAGCCTCCATCATGGTGGAAGGCAAAGGGGAACCCGTGTGTCACATGATCAGGGAGGAAGAGAGCAAGAGAGGGGAGGAAGGTATCAGATTCTTTTTAACAATAAGATCTCATGGGAAGTAGGAGTGAGAACTTAATCCCGTGAAGACAGCACCAAGCCATTCATGAAGGATCTGCCCCCACAACCAAAACACCTCCCAGTGGGCCCCACCTCCAACATTGGGGATCAAATGTCAACATGAGATTTGGAGGAGACAAACATTCAAACTTTATCATTGTGCTTGTTTTCTTCAGAAATAGACCAAATTGATATGTTTCATGATGACATTATGATCTAAAAATGAGAGTTTATTTCAGTTTGTCCTGTATACACCCAAGAGGTCCAGGATATTATTCTGTCTGTCTACCACAAGTCCTGCAAACTAGAAGATGGCCTTAACATTCAATCTAGGGTGGTTCTGCCCAATGACCTTTTGTCTTTCCTCAGTGTCTTCCAAAGCACATAGTGATATTCTATCATGAATTATATGAAAGCTGTTTACATGGATTAAACAGTAAATCTGACAAACAGGCTGCTTTTTGATGACTCTAGATATATTTATTCTTACATCTTAGACATTTGAGAAAAAAATCAAATTTCTTAATACTTTATGTTCAATTGAGTTTGAAGCCATAAAGAGGAAGGAAATAATAAGGATTAGAGCAAAAATAAATGAAATAGAGAATAGAAAAACAATAGAATCAATGAAACAACAAATTAGTTCTTTGAAGAGATCAACAAAGTTGACAAAGCTTTAACTAGATTAAGGAAAAAGAATACTCAACTACTAAAATCAGAAATGAAAAACACTACTACTGATTTATAGGAATAAAAAGGGTTGTAAGAGAATTCGTATAAGAGCTATATGTCAAAAAATTGGATAACCTAGATGAAATAGACAAATTCCTAGAAACACACAAACCAACAAAGTTGACTCAAGAAGAAAGAATAAATCTGAATAGATCTATAAAAAGTAATGATATTCAATTTTGGTTGAATCAGCAACCAAAACTCTCCTAACAAAGAAACGCCCAGGAACTGATGACTTCGCTGGTGAATTCTACCAAACGTTTAGAAACGAATTAACACTAATCCTTCTCGAACTCCTCCAAAAAGTTGAGAAACAGAACCCTTTCTGAGTCATTCTATGAAGCCAACATTACCCTGATACCAAAGCTAGACAGACAATACAAGAAAACTATAGCCAAATGTCCCCTATGAATGCATTATAGATACAAAAATCCCCAACAAAATACTAGGAAATTAAATTCAGCAGCCCTTAAAAGAATTTTACACTATGACCAACTGAGATTTGTCCCAGAAATATAAGAATGGTTTAACATATGAAAATCAGTCGATGTAATACACCAAGTAATAGAATGAAGGAGTGAAAAACTCATGATCATCTCAATTGATATAGAAGAACATTTGAGAAAATCCATTCCTCCTTTATGATAGAACTGTTCAACAAACCAGGAATAGAAAGGAACTGTCTCAACATGATAAAGACCATGTATTAAAAACTCACGACTGACATCATTCTCAATGGGGAAAAATTTCAAGCTTTTCCACTAAAATCAGAAGCCATGGATGCCTGTGTTTGCCACTTCTATTCAACATAGTATTGGCAGTTCTAGCCAGACCCATAAGGCAAGAAAAAGAAATAAAATAAATCCAAATTAGAAAGGAAGAAGTAAAACTATCTCTATTTGCAAGTGATATAAGTGTAGAAAGCCCTAAAGAATACCAAAAATAGCCTCTTAAAGCTAATAAACAAATTTAGCAAAGCTTCAGAATACAAAATCAACACACAAAAATCAGTCGTGTTTCTACACACTAGCAGTAAAAGATCTGAAAAGGAAATTAAGAATTTTTTATTTACAGTAGTACCCAAAAGAATAAAATATTTAGAAATCAATTTAACCAAGAAGGCAGAAGACTTGTACACTGAAAACTACAAAGCATTCTGGAAAGAAATTAAAGTAGACTTAAATAAATGGAAAGAGATCCTGTGTTCATAAGTTGGAAGACTTAATATTGTTAAAATGACAACGCTACTCAAAATGATATGTAGAGTCAATGTAATCATGCTATTAAAATCCCAACAGCGCTTTTGGCAGAAATGGAAAAACCTATTCTAAAATTCATATAAAATTTCAAGGAACCCAAAATAGCCAAAATAATCTGAAGAGGAACAAAGTTGTAGGATCACATTTTCTGATATTAAAATTTACTACATAGCTATAGTAATTGAAATAGCATGGACTTGGCACAGAGATAGACAATATAGACCAATGGAATAGAATCGAGAGGCCAGAACTAACACTCACATCTATGGGTAATTAATTTTCAGCAAGGGTTCCAGGACCACTCAATGGGGAAAAGGACAATCTCTTTAACAAATGGTGTTGGGGAAACTAGATATCCACAAGCAAAAGAATGAAGTTGGACCTATACTTTTACACAATGTACAAAAATTAACTCAAAATGGATCAAAGACCAAAATTTAATGCTATAAAACACTTAAATATTAAATGCTATAAAACTCTTAGAGGAAAACATACTGAAAAATCTTCATGACCTTGGGTTTGACAACGGTTTCTTAAATATAACATCAAAAGTACAAGTGATGAAACAACTGATAAATTGGACTTCATCAAAATTGTGTATCAAGTGACACTATAAAGAGAGTGAAAAGATAACACAAAAAATTGGAGAAAATGTTTGCAAATCATATATCTGACAAAAAACTAATATACTCAGGCATTTCTTTATGGCAATGCAAGAATGGCCTAATACAATACCCAAAAGAATTGAACGCATAAAGAATCCTACAACTCAACAAATAAAAGATAAATAACTCAATTTTTTTAATGGACAAAAGACTTAGACACTTCTCTAAAAAAAAGACATGTAAATGGTCAATAAGCAACTCAAAAGATGCTAAAACCACAATGAGATACCACTTTGTACCTACTAGAATGGCTATAATTAGAAGAAAAAATAACTAGTGTTGTTGAACATGTGGAGAAATTGGAAACCTAGTATACTGCTGGTGGGAATGTAAATGGTTTAACTGCTGAGGAAGATAGTTTGGCAATTCCTCAAAACGTAAAACAGAATTATCACCCAGTAATTCTACTCTTAAGTATATACCTGATATAGTTTGACTGTTTGTTCCTATGCAAATCTCATGTTGAAATATAATTAATCTCCAGTGTTAGAGTTGGGGCCTGGTGGGAGGTGATTGGATCATGGGAGTGGTTTCTCATGAATGGCTTCACCATCTCTAGCTGTCATCAAGATTGTGAGTTCTCACAAGATTTGATTGTTTAAAAGTGTGCAGCACCTCCCCACTTCCTCTCTTGCTCTGGCTTTTGCCATGTGACATGCATGCACCCACTTTGCCTTCCATCATGATTGGAAGCTTCCTGAAGCCTCCCCGGAAGCAGATGCTGCTATGCTTCCTGTACAGCCTGCAGAAATGTGAGGCAACTAAACCCTTTTTTCTTTGGAACTTACCCAGTGTCAGGTATTTCTTTATACCAATGCAAGAATGGCCTAATACAATACCCAAAAGAATTGAAAACAACAACTTAAACAGTGACTTGTACACTAATGTTCATAGCAGCATTATTCACAATAGACAAAAGGTAGAAACAACCAAAATGTCTATCAAAAGATAAATGGATAGGCCAGGCACGATGGCTCACGCCTGTAATCCCAGTACTTTCCAAGGCCAAGGTGGTCGGATCACCTGAGTTCAGGAGTTCGAGACTAGCTTGGCCAACATGGTAAAACCCTGTCTTTAAAAAACAAACAAACAAACAAAAAGATAAATGGATAAACAAGATGCAGTATATACATACAATTATTATTCAGCCATAGAAAAGAAGAATGGAATACTGATACATGCTATAAGATGGATGAACCTTGAAAACATTATGCTAAGTGAAATAAGCTAGACACAAAAAGATAGTGTATGATACCATTATGTGAAATATTTACAATAGGCAAATTCATAGAGACAGGAGGTAGATTAGAAGTTACCAGAGGTTACCAGAGGCTGGAAGGAGAGGAAAGTGGGAGTTTTTGCTGAATAAGCACAGTTTCTATTTGGGGTGACGAAAGGGTTTTGGTAATAGATGGTGGTAACGGTTGTACAACATTGTAAATATAATTAATACCACCAAATTGTACAGTTAAAAATGATTAAAATGGCAAATTGCATATGTCTTTCTCTGTTTGTGTTGCTATAAAGGAATACCCAAGGCTGGGTAATTTATAAAGAAAAGAGGTGTATTTAGCTAATGATTCTGCAGATTGTACAAGAAGCATGGCACTGGCATCCACATCTGGTGAGGGCCTCAGGCTGCTTCCGCTCATGTCAGAAAGGGAAGGCAAGCCAATGTGTGTGGAGATCACATGGTGAGAGAGGAAACAAGAAAGAGGAGGGTAGTGCTAGGCTCTTTTAACAACTAGCTCTTGGCCAGGTGAGGTGGCTCATGCTTGTAATCTCAACACCTTGGGAGGCTGAGGTGGGAGGATCTCTTCAGCCCAAGAGTTCAAGACCAGCCTAAAAAAAAAAAAATCCTGTAAAACCTAGCTCTCACAGGAACTAAGAGACCAAAAACTCACTCACCTGCAACCCAGGGAGAACATTAATCTATTCATGAGGGATCTGCCCCATGAGCCAAATACCTTCCATTAGGCCCCACCTCCAACACTGGGTATCCAATTTCAACATCAGATTTGGAGGGTCAAATACCTGGGCTACATACCCTTGTCTCTAGAAAAAATATATAAAATTTAGCTGGGTGTGGTGACACATACCTGTAGTCTCAGCTACTTTGGAGGCTGAGGCAGGAGGATCATTTCAGCCCAGAATTTCGAGGCTACAGTGAGCTATAATCAGGCCACTGTACAACAGCCTGCAAGACAGAATGAGACCCTGTCTTTAAAAAAATAAAAATAAAAATAAATTAATTACTTTTAAAAAGACCTTGTATTGCAAGTTGGTAAACATAAGTACATTTGTTGGGACTATGAAATTATTCACCCACAGGATCAATGTTACAAATTGGTATTTGCATCTCAATTTAGTTTGTTCAACCCAGAATTCACATTTGCCATAAAACTGTAGTCAATAATTCAATTAAACTACTGATAACCAAAGGGGAAAGCAACATATTGAATCAGAAATAGTTTTATTTTTATCAACTGGTGTCACCAAAGAAAAGCAGGTTTCACTAGTGTTGAGAAAATAGAAAGTTTTCTATTGATTATGGAGAAATTTCAATTCAGTTTCTAGAAGGTTAAATGCCCCAATTTCTTTTTTTAATGACTGTGTTAAACTAAATAATGGCCTCCATTATTTCCATATGCAAATCCTCAGAACCTATCACTGTTACGTTATATGGCAAAAGAGAATTTGCAAATGTGATTAAGTTAAGGATCTTGAAATTGGGAGATTATCCTGGGTTATCTGATGTCCCCAATGTAATCACAAGGATCTTTATAAAAAAGGAAATGTGAGACAAAGGGAGAGAAGGTGATGTGATGAAGTAGAGGTCAGAGTGATGCGGGGGCTAGATCCAAGGAATGTGGGCAGCCTCTAGAAGCTGAGACAGACAGGGAAATGGATTCTCCTCCTAGAGCCTCCAGAAGGAAAGCAGCCTTGCCAACCCATTTGAAACTTCTGATCTCCAGATCTATACAACAATACATCTGTGTTGTTTTTTTTTATTTTTATTTTTTTAGGGACAGGTCTTGCTCTGTTGCTCAGGCTAGAGTGCAGTGGCATGGTCTGGGCTCACTACAGCCTCAACCTCCCAGGCTCAAATGATCCTCCTGCCTCAGCCTCCTGAGTAGGTGGAGCTACAGACATGTGCCACCACACCTGGCTAATTTTGTTTTTTATTTTTTGTAGAGATGGGGTCTCACTATGTTGCCCACCCTGGTCTCCAACTCCTGGGCTCAAGCAATCCTCCTGCCTCAGCCTCCCAAAGTGCTGGGCTTATAAGTGTGAGAGTCACAGTTTCTGGCCCATCTGTGTTATTTTAATGTTTAAGTTTGTCATAATCTGTTACAGCAGCAATAAAAAACTAACAAAATGACTAATTTTACTTCCCAACCCATTGTCTCCCTCCCTTAAAATAATTTTATCACAATAGCTATTTTTATATTACAGTCACACACCACATAATGACCTTTTGGTCAATGACAAACTTCATATACAGTGGTAGTTCCTTAAGATTACAGTGGAGCTGAAAAATTTTTATTGCCCAGATATGTCAGAGCTGATCATGGTACAACACATTACTTACATATTTGTGATGATGCTGGTGTAAACGAACCTACTGTGCTGCCAGTCCTATAAAAGTATAGTACATACAATATGTACAGTACATGGTACTTGATAATGATAATAAACGACTGCGTTATGGGTTTATGTACTTGCTATATTATACTTGTCTTATTATTTTAGAGTGTCTTTTTTATACTTAAAAAAAAGTTAACTGCAAAACAGTCCTTCAGGAGGTGTTCCAGATAAGGCATAGTTACCATAGGAGATGGCAGCTCCATGCATGTTACTGCTCCTGAAGACCTTCCAATGGGAGAAGATAGGGAAGTGAAAGACAGTGATATTGAAGACCCTGGCCCTGTGTAGGCCTAGTCTCATGTGTAATGTGTGTTTATGTCTTTTTGTTTTTTGTTTTTTTTTTTTTGAGACTAGGCCTCACTATGTTGGCCCACGCTGGAGTGCAGTGGCTGTTCACAGGTGCAATCATATTGCACTGCAGCCTCGAACTCCTGGCCTTGGACAATCCTCCCACCTCAGCCTTCTGAGTAGCTGGGATTATAGGCTTGCACCATAGCACCTGGCTATGTCTTCATTTTTAAACAAAAAAGTTTGAAAGTAAAAAATAAATAAAAATTTTTAAATAGAAGAAAGCTTATAGGCTGTGTGCAGTGGCTCATACCTGTAATCCCAGCAATTAGGGAGGCTGAGGCAGGCAGATCACTTGAGGCTAGGAGTTTGAGACCAGTCTGGCCCACATGGTGAAACTCTGTCTCTATTAAAAATGCAAAAATTAGCCAGGCATGGTGGCACACTCCTGTGTCCTAAGCTGCTCGAGAGGCTGAGGCATGAGAACTGCTTGAACCCGGGAGGCGGAGCTTGCAGTGAGCAGAGATCCCGCCACTGCACTCCAGCCTGGGCGACAGAGCGAGACTCCGTCTCAAAAAAAAAAAAACCAAAAAAAAAAAAAAAAAAGAAAAGAAAATGAAAAAGAAAAAACCTCACTGTAGCCTCCACCTCCTGGGCTCAAGCAATCCTTGCACCTCAGCCTCCTAAGTAGCTGGGACCACAGGCACACACCACCACACCCAGCTAATTTTTGTTTTTTGTTATTTTTTTTTTGGTACAGACAGGGTTTCATCATGTTGCCCAGGCTGGTCTTGAACTCCTGGGCTCAAGAGATCCTCCTGCCTCTGCCTCCCAAAGTGCTGGGATTACAGGCATGAGCCACTGTGCCTGGCCTAAGTGTACCACTTTATATCTTCTATAGTTTACTTTTACTGTACCTTTTCTACATTTAGGTACACAAATATTGACCATTATGTTACAACTGCTTACAGTATTCAGTACAATAATAGGCTGTCCAGGTTTGCAGCCTAGGAACAATAGACAATGCCATATATAGCCTAGATGTGTTGTAGACTATACCATCTCTGTTTGTGTAAGTGCACAGTATGATGTTTGCACAACGATGGAATCACCTCATGATGAATTTTTCAGACTATATCCTTGTTAAGTAATGCATGACCTTAATCAGGAATGAGTCACAGCAGTATTGTAATCTTGATGAAGATGTTGATGTAGATAATACTCCCATTTACAATGCACTTGCCAAATACAAGGCATTGCACTGAAAGCTTTACATACTTTATTTTAAAAAATTTTACAACCTTTTAGGTAAGTACCATTAACCACTTTTACAGATCAGAAAACAGGGTCTATGAGGTGAAATAATTTGTCATACAGTGGTGATGTAAATATGCATATAATGAAACAGAATAGGCAAGTCAGAAGTGATTTTTGTATTTCTTTTAATAGATTAAGGGTACTTACTATCAGCAAAAGAGTGAAAGTCTGACAGAAAAGAAAAAGATGGAAAGAAATGTGGGGATGTGCAATTCCTTATGTTGGTTGGTTCAGCAGAGCTTTGCCATTGTTCAGATGGAGTTTAGGCAAGCAAAAGACGACCAGCCATTGCTGGGTATTTGAACATCAGATGTTCATAAGGCTTAGGTATTCTTAAAAGAAAAATTTATTCTCTTAAAAATTCTGAAAAAAAGTTCTCTGTATTAAAACTTCATAATGAACATTGCCACACTGTATATTAGGCACAGGTATTATTTGTTGGAGTTTTTGGTAATTGTTATTTTTGTAACTGGAATATTTAATATATGTTTTATATATATTTATTTTATTTATTTATTTTTTGAGATGGAGTCTCACTCTGTCACCCAGGCTGCAGTGAAGTGGCACGATCTTGGCTCACTGCAACCTTTGCCTCCCAGGTTCAAGTGATTCTCCTGCCTCAGCCGCCCGAGTAGCTGGGACTACAGGCACGTGCCACCACGCCCAGCTAATTTTTTGTATTTTTAGTAGAGACGGGGTTTCACTGTGTTAGCCAGGATGGCTTCGATCTCCTGACCTCGTGATCCACCCACCTTGGCCTCCCAAAGTGTTGGGATTACAGGCGTGAGCCACCGCTATATATTTTGCAAACAATAGCAAA
Source organism: Homo sapiens (assembly GCF_000001405.40). Classification (NCBI taxonomy): domain Eukaryota; kingdom Metazoa; phylum Chordata; class Mammalia; order Primates; family Hominidae; genus Homo; species Homo sapiens. The sequence continues at coordinate 87,487,927 of NC_000010.11, read as the reverse complement.
TCTAGAGGAAATTCTTTGAAGTAAGAAGCAGTGGTACTTAAAACTGGCTACTTGTATTTATCATCTCTGTTTCAGTTTTTTAAGAAATTCAAAATTTTTACAGAGAGTTGATAAAAACATTTGATGATTTGGGGTGCAGATGAAGGATGGCTGGTATTTGAAAAATAAATAAATAAAGGCCTTCCTTGATTCTTAATGTTGAGACTGAAGGCTTCAGTGGAGTTTCTTCCTCAGCCTGAATTCCAGTGATAATGTGTCTGTTCTTGACATGAGCAATAACTGGAGTACTTAGGATTAAACAAAATATTAGATGTGCCGGGCCAGAGGAGGTGAGGAAAGTCTAAAGTGATAAGGTGCTAGTCAGCTCAGAGTGGCTGTTTTAGATAGTGTAATACAGCAGACTAGAAACTTGTCAGAAAGGAAAGGTACCAGGCAGGAGATAAATGTACACCCACCTTAGCTAATGTAAGGAGCTGAAAACTCTATTTTGAATTTTTATCCTAAACATGGAAATAACATCCTTATGAGAAATTGAACACTAAATAGACATATTAAACCAATTTTGCTTATTGAGACATCTGTTCATTCATTTATTCAACAGCTATTTACTGAGTGGATACTTGGTAGTTTTTAGGACTTAGAATTAACCCAAGACAAACTTGTGAGGTAGGAAGTTGCATCTCAGTCATCTCACTACTTTGCTCTTTCTTGAGACTTCAGCCTTCCCTTTCCTCCCTCAGGTTTTGGAGCTTAGAAATTAATAATATTAAAGCTTCAATGACAAGACTGTTTAAAATAAAAAATGGTTGGGCTGGGCACGGTGGCTCATGCCTGTAATCCCAGCACTTCGGGAGGCTGAGGCGCACAGATCACGAGGTCAGGAGATCGAGACCATCCTGGCTAACACGGTGAAACTCCATCTCTACTAAAAATACAAAAAACTAGCTGGGCGTGGTGGCAGGCACCTGCAGTCCCAGCTACTTGGGAGGCTGAGGCAGGAGAATGGCATGAACCCTGGAGGTGGAGCTTGCAGTGAGCTGAGATGGCGCCACTGCACTCCAGCCTGGGCAACAAAGCGAGACTCCGTCTCAAAAAAAAAATAAAATAAAATAAAAAGTAAAATAAAAAAATAAAAAAAAATTGTTGTGTTCAGTGGGAGATAATGTGTTAAGGAAAGAAAGATGTTAAGTTCTACTACTTGTAGATAGGTGGAATTACTGTGTCCTTTGTATTGTTTTTGCTTTCCTGTCATAAGATATTCCTTGGTTTAATACCATAATAAATATATAAAAATACACATAAGAAACTAAACAATAAAAAGAATGTGTTAAATAATTTTTTTTTACCATTTCAGGTTTTTTTTCTTTCTAATTCAGTTAATCAGTCCCGCTTTGCTTGTTTGTCAAGGTTCTTCAACTTGCTTAAAAACTTTTTCAAATTGGTCAAAAATTAATCTTTCAAATTACTACAGGCTTACAAAACTTTTATGCACCATGCAAACATCATGAGATGTAGTATGGGAGGTAAGGAATATTTAACCTGCTTCAAACTTTAAGTATTGGACATTTGGATTGTTTTCCACTTTACCCCGTTACCGACAAAGTGGAGCAGATATAACTGATTAATATTTTTAACCAAATATTTTGACTTAAGTATCGAATTCCTTTGGGGTCTTGAAGGATATAATACACTATGAAAGAAAAGTAGAAGGTGCTGATGATACAACGAATTAGGAGGACCTATTTTGTCGTGGGAACTTTAGAGAAGACTTTTTGAAGAAGAGTCACATGTCCTACCTCAATCAGTCTACAAGCGCAAGGAAACAACTTAGAGTTCGACAAAGTCATATTTATAGATTCATTGCAGTGAGGGAGATCACACACAGAACTGTGAGGCATCTCACTCACCAAACAAGGACAAGATAATCATTACAGGATTTGGGGGAAGAGTAGAGTTTGGGTGAGATTTAATTGAAACCATTTAAGTGGCTTTTGATGAACTCAAAGCAAATCAGGAGTCAACATCAGGTCTGGGCAGGATCCAGGGTTCTGCTTCCTTGAAAACTAGAAAGTTAAGACAGATATGGATTATTGTGTCCAGAAGCCCTTTTCTTAAGCTCTGTGGCTGGAATGGAAATGGAGGCTGATTCTCTGTGTCAAAGTGTTTTAGAGTCTCCAAGACACTATGATGTTTTATGTTATAATAATATAATTTCAAACGACAACGTTTCTTTTCTAATAGCATATAATTTTAAAGAACAAAGTTTCTTAGCAAGTAAGAAAACAGTAATCACTCAAAGAATGGGGTTGTTATGAAGCTTTATCGCATGTCTTTGGGATAACTAGTTTCCCGTAAACTTTGCAGCTAGTTTTATCAATGTTTATTAATCCAGCTTGATGAGTGATGGAACAGATTTTTACTTTCTAAGTCCTAGCAAAAGCTTCCCCTAAAAAGAGAGAACCAACCAAGAGACAGGGGAAAATAACTTTCTGGAAAGAACAAAAAAACAAGCATGAAGGTTGTGAGCTGGTTCTGGACACATTTAAGACCCTAAAAACCAATAGGACAATAACACAGGCAACAAATGATTTGAAATGATGGAGAGATAGGGGCAGATCTTTCAGGAAGCTGCTAGCCTTAGTTAGGATTTTGCATTTCATCAAAGAGTAGAGGGAAGTCACTAAAGGATTCTAATCAGGGGAATTACCGAATCTTCATCTTCTAAGATAGAGAATGCATTGTCATAGGCAATAGTGGAAGGTAGATGACCGTTTGGAAAGTTGTTGCAAGAGAGGATGATAGTTTATACTAGGGTGGCAGCAGTAAAGAAGGCAGAAATGGAGAGATTCAAGACAAAATTTTAGGTAGAACCAAATGGTCTTAGTGAGAGTTTGAATGTGTAACATGAGGGAGATGGAGTCAGGGATAATATCCAGGTTCTGGCTTGAATATCCGAGTAGAAGGTGGCATCATTAGGATGTGGAAGACTGGAGGTGAGGCAGGATTGATGGAAAAGAACAAGTACAGCTGTAGACATCTTACATTTGTGCGGCATTTAAGTAAGAATGCCTTGAAAGCATTTGGGTATTTGGATCTGAGGTTGAGAAGAGAGGTTTGAGTTGGTGCTAAATATGGAGTCATAAGTATATATTCAAAGCCATGGGAAAAAAAGTAACATGAGAAGAGAAAAAGGATTAGGACCAAGTCTAAAGGAACTACCAAATCCAGAGGTGAACAGGAGGACAGGAGCCAGCAAGGAAGCCCAGGCACCATGAAGATGGCTGAATTCACTTATGAAAAGCTTGGTTTGATGCTTTGATGTTAACTCAGTTGTACTTGTCATCAATTTCTTAGAGAATCGAGAGCTGAAACATATTCTGAACTGCCTTCTATTTTTATTCACTGCTTTGTATTATCTGTAGTCATCTAGTTAGACAATTCCTTTCCTGCAATGCCTGTGATGGAAGCCAGGAAGCATTTATTTCTTTGTGAAGCATTTGGAAAATATAAACATGGCCGGGCGCGGTGGCTCATGCCTGTAATCTCAGAACTTTGGGAGGCCGAGGTGGGCGGATCACGAGTTCAGGGGATGGAGACCATCCTGGCTAACACGGTGAAACCCCGTCTCTACTAAAAAAATACAAAAAAGTTAGCTGGGCATGGTGGTGGGCGCCTGTAGTCCCAGCTACTCGGGAGCCTGAGGCAGGAGAATGGCGTGAACCTGGGAGGCGGAGTTTGCAGTGAGCCGAGATCGCGCCACTGCACTCCAGCCTGGGCGACAGAGCGAGACTCTGTCTCAAAAAAAAAAAAAGAAAAATATAAACATGCAAATGACATCTTATCACAGCACTGAACAGATGTTTTAAATTGTATTTATTTATTTATTTATTTATTTAGACGAAGTCTCGCTCTGTTGCCCAGGCTGGAGTGCAGTGGCGCGATCTCGGCTCACCGAAACCTCCACCTCCTAGGTTCAAGCGATTCTCCTGCCTCAGCCTCCCGAGTAGCTGGGACTACAGGCACGTGCCAACATGCCCGGCTAATTTTTGTATTTTTAGTAGAGACAGGGTTTCACCATATTGGCCACCGTCTTGGCCAGGCTGGTCTCGAACTCCTGACCTTGTGATCTGCCCACCTCGGCCTCCCAAAGTTCTGGAGGCGTGAGCCACCGCGCCAGGCCATTTTTAATTTTATTTTAAGCCTGTGTTCTAACCACATCATTTACCTGCAGGTCCTTGGATACAATATGTACTTTTGAGTCTGAGTCTGTGCTCACGTTGTTCCTTCTGCTTAGAATGGCCTCTCTTTCCCCTTCTCTACCTAATCAAGTCCTACTTAACTTTTAAAACCCAGCTCTAGTGGCATGCTCCTCTCTGAGCCTTTTGTTGTTCTAATAAGGCGTAACTAATCACTCCTCCTAAATACACTCACAGTATCCAGCTCATTCCATTAGTACAGATCTTTTCATGTTTTACTTTGCTAAGGTATAGACAAATATATCTGTCTCTACCATTGGACTGTAAGGTTCTTAAGTGACCATGAGTTATTCAACTTTACGTCCCTCATACAGAGAACAAATCTTGTTGAATTTACTTGCATGTAATTGGAGATGACATGGCAAAGAATAATGTGGATATACCCTGCTCAGCTTCAGATAAACGCTATGACATATGTAAACAAAATATTCAGCTAACTTTTAAACTTTACATCCAATTTTGACTTATATAGGATGTAAACTGCATACATGTACATATGCTTCAGACCTTTGAACATGCTGCTTTCTGTCTGGCATATGCCCCTATCTTCTCTCTCCCACACAAGTCCACCCATCTCTCAATTTTAGTTTATAGGCTTTTTTTTTTTTTTTTTTTTTGAGACAGATTCTTGCTCTGTCGCCCAGACTAGAGTGCAGTGGTACAATCTCGGCTCACTGCAACAACCACCTCCCAGATTCAAACGATTCTCGTGCCTCAGCCTGCCGAATAGTTGGGATTACAAGTGTGTGCCGCCACGCCCATCTAATTTTTTCTATTTTTAGTAGAGATGGAGTTTCACTGTGCTGGTCAGGCTGATCTTGAACTCCTGGGCTCAGGTGATCCACCTGCCTCGGCCTCCCAAAGTAAGCCCAGCCATTTTTTTTTTAAGAGATAATATCTCAGTCTGTGACAGACTGGAGTACAATGGCGCTATCAATTTTAGTTCTAACTAAACTGTCAACAAAATCTTTGACTACCTTCTCTCTCTACCTCAAGATAGCTTGCTCAATTGCAATGTCACCCTGCACTCTCATTTTACAACACACATCATCTTTTAGTTTCTCAGTAAGTGTTGCTTTCTCTCTACAACTGAAAGCTCCAGGAGGCAGGGACAAAACCTGTAGTTTTTCTTTTCTTTTTTTCTTTTTTCAGCAAAGGGAGGGCTGATTTTTTAACTTTTTGAAAATAGATGAAAGTAAACAATAAAATAATAAAACCTCACATGCCATCGCTCAGCCTCAGTAACCATCAACCCATGGCCAATCCTGTCCCTACTGCAACCCTGCCCATTCCCTACACTCACACATTATTTTGAAGTAAGTCCCAGACAACACATGATTTTATTTGTAAATATTTCAGTCTGTTTCTGAAATGACTCCTTTTTGTAACATAACCACAATGTCATTATTACACCTAAGAATGAATAATACCTCTTTAATATCATCAACTATCCAGGCAGAATTCAGATTTTTAATTATCTCTTTCAGATAATCTTTTTAATGTCTTTTCTTGAATCAGGATACAAACAAGGTTCACACATTGAGATTGGCTGGTAGTCTATTGTCTCTTTTTACCTACCGATTCACCTTCTATTTTTTCTTTTTGTTTCATCACTTATAAATATAAATACTATTTTTTTAATAGCTATGTCTCCAGTTCCTCACCCAGTCTTGGTCATAGCAGGTTTTAGATAAATATTGTATTTAATGAATAAATGAATGAATACAAGTAATGCATAATTGAGAAATCTCAGGAGATACCAAAAGAAATGTAATTTAATAATAATCTTTGATTTCTCTGATCTCATATTTCTTCAATGTTCTCTAAATTTAAAATTTTATTTGATACATAATAAATGCATACTTTTGAGGCAGAAAGTATTATTCTCTGAAACATTTCTAAGAAATTAATTTACCCTGGAATTGTCATAATTAGTTAATTTTAACTACTTCCCCTATATAAAATTGGTGACTTGGGCAGCAAGACAAAAAAGGTTTCTATTGTTAAGTAAGACTTATTTTTCTTCCTCAAGAAATCATCACTAGTAAGCATTGCAACCTTTACTTTGCTATTGTTAGATGTGGCAACAACTCGTGCTGGACTCGAGAAAATTGTGCAAGCTTGAATTAAATAATTGCTTCTAAATTTGCTTATAAGGAAGTTTATTGTCTTACCAGGGACTAACACTACAAATATGGAAATGGAGTCAAGCAGTGATTCAATGTAGATAACATAATTGGAAACTGGGAGAAAGAATGTTCATTCAACAATCGAGAAAAACTAAAATAAAAGTTAAACTTTACTTCATCAATGCTGGGTCCAAATTAATTAATGAAAACAGAAATAAAACTATGCTTCCTAGGATAATATTGACAGTATTTTTAAAAGTTTATTATTTTTTAAAAAGATTATTATATGAAGAGTAAAAGTCTTTCTATCTCTCTAGCCTCCCTTATTCAGATTTTCAGAGGTAAAAGCATTGTTTCTTATATATCCAGGCATTTTCCTATCAGAATGTCCAACATATGTATATTTATATATAGTCATGCACCTCATAATTACATTTAGGTCAATGGCAGGCCACATGTATGATAGTGGGTGGTCCCATAAGATTATAATTGAACTGAAAATTTCCTATCATGTAGTGACATGGTAGCTTTCATAACCTGGTAACACAGCGTATTGCTCACAGGATTATAGTGATGCAATGCAGACAAACCTACTGCACTGTCAGCTATGTAAAAGTATGGCACATACAATTATGTACAGTACATAATACTTAATAATGATAATAAGTGACTATGTTACTGGTTTATGTATTTACTATACTATACTTTTTATCATTATTCTAGAGTGTACTCCTTCTACTTATTAAAAAAAAGTTAACTGTAAAACAACCCCATGAAGAGTAATATATTCTAGATACACTTCTGTACTTGCCTTTCACACAGTTGATCATGTTGTTCAAATTGTCCAGATTTGGGCATTAGTAGCTCCTTTAAGTTGGCTCCGACGTCTTGTAGACTTGGCCCCCATTATTTTGTGAACATGTCTTTACTTTCTGGCACTTTAAATGGTCTAAGCTCATCTTGCATTCCTCCTGCTCTAGTCTGGACTCAGTCATTTCCCCAAGGAGCTCTGGTTCCTTTCATCGAGAATGGTATTTAGAAACCAAGATCTGGAAACTAGTTGTGCTCATTGCTACTGGGATCTCACTGCATGTATATCCATGAATTCACACTGATATTCCTGCTCTGATTTCAATCTGGAGTTTGTGCTACTTCACAATTTCTCTATTTTAACTCTTTTATCTGACAGAAAACTGGCTCTCAATATCCACAGTGTATTTCTTAATTACTCAATCCTAGTACATACATAAAGTAGTTTCAGAAATACTAACCCATACCCTATGAAAAACAAATTTACTAAAGTACAAAATTTTCATACAGTTCTTTCTGTTTTTAGCCTTCTAGTATATGGTTAAAATAATGTTCTCCAGGTTATGTTAGATAATTCTTTTATTTTTTATCCCATTTAGTATAATTATGTCATTTATTTGTAATACAGTTGGGCTTATTTGTTACTGCTTATATTCCATTTTGGGTCTTCCCTTCCCCAACATCCTGGTTAATTTTAATTATTTATTTTTTGGGGGGGTGAAACATTACCATATTTATAGGAATTAGAGCTATGCATATAGGAATACTCTGAGTGTGTCACATCTCTCTAATCATTTCTACCCATTTTTATTCCCCAATTTTTCCACACTGATCCTACTTAACCTCTGTAGGTGACGAATCTCATTTGTTTCTAGTTTAACTTTCCAGTATGTTTTTCCTCATATATGTGGATATATGTATATTTTCTTATATATACTTCTTTCTTACATGAAGAGTAGTATACTCTAGATATTCTTCTGTACTTTGCTTTCCACATAAAAATATACCTTGGAAATCTCTGAATATGAATCCATAGAGCTCTTCCTCATTTATTTTATAGCTGCATAGTGCTCTCCTGTGTGAATTATTAGAGTTTATTTAAAAACCACTGTTCTATATATGAGTATTTGTTTCTTAAATTTAGCAATTATATATAATCTTACAATGAATAAACTTGTACATATGTTTTTCATATTGTTGGATATGTATCTTCAGGGTAGATTTTATAAGTGAGATTATAGGGCTCCTTATGTAGTTATATTAGGTATTGCCAAGTTTCCCTTGAGAAGGGTTGTAGCAGTTTGTATTCCTTAACAGCAATGAAAAGAGTGATTATTTTCCTAAGATCTGGCTAACAAAATGTGTTGTCATATTTTAATTTAGTACATTTTATTAGTTAAAATTTTATTTTAATTTTTACCCATCTGATAGGTGAGAAATAATAGCTTAGCATTTTTTTAATCTGCATTTTTCTAGTTATGAATTTGCACTTTACAGGTATATATATGTATTTTTCTTTTTAAAAAATTGTATTTTAAGTTCTGGGGTACATGTGCAGGACATGCAGGTTTATTACGTAGGTAAATGTGTGCCACGGTGGTTTGCTGCACCTACTAACCCATCACCTAGGTATCAAGCCCTGCATGCATTAGCTATTTATCCTGATGCTCTCCCTCTTCCCAACCCGCTGACAGGCCCGAGTGTGTGTTATTTCCCTCCCTGTGTCCATGTGTTCTCAATGTTCAGCTCACACTTATGAGTGAGAAACATGAGGTGCTTGGTTTTCTGTTCCTGTGTTAGTTTGCTGAGGATGATGGCTTCCAGCTTCATCTGTGTCCCTGCAAAGGACATGATCTCTTTCCTTTCTTTGGTTGCATAATATTCCATGGTGTATATGTACCACATTTTCTTTATCCAGTCTACCATTGATGGACATTTGGGTTGATTCCATGTCCTTGCTCCTGTGAATAGTGCTGCAGTAAACATACACATGCATGTATCTTTATAATAGAATGATTTATATTCCTTTTGGTATATACACAGTAATGGGATTGCTGGGTCAAATGGTATTTCTGGTTCTAGATCCTTGAGGAATCACCACACTGTCTTCCACAATGCTTGTACTAATTTACATTCCCACCAACAGTGTAAAAGCATTCCTTTTTCTCCACAGCCTCGCCAGCATCTATTGTTTCTTGACTTTGAAAAGTGATTATATGTGTATTTATGGATCACTTTTTCAACAGCCTTGTTAAGGTTGTGGAGACAAAAACCACCCCATCTTGGACGCTAATCCACCATGTTGACTTCTGATTAGACCCAGTCCCATGAATAACTTCTGGTTTCTACTTTATTTACTGTCCCTAGTATAAGATCAAAACAACCCTGATGTTATCACACAAATTATAGGCTAGGACACACATAGCATTTTCGCCTGTTCTGGAGGGTTGCCTTTAATCGTTTTGCTGGAGCATGTGTACCCTTTCCATATGGTACACAAACCTTGGGTCTGGGAAATAACAGTGTGGAGATCTACCTGTCTTGCAGTCATCCAAGATCACACTTCTGTCCATAAGTTCCTCAATAAATCACCCATTACTGACGAACTGGATTTGTTCACTTCCTTCTTTGGTTTCTGGGCTTCTTCAGCATTTGGGAATAGCTTTGTGTGCACAGCCTTTTCACAGAACAAAGATATGACCTACTTTCTGTTTCTATAGAGTTGTTAAAGCCATTTGTGTGTCTCTGTGTGTGTGTGTGTGTGTGTGTGTGTGAATTGTCTATTGATGCCCTTTTCCCATTTTTTCTAATGGGTGCTTGATCTCTTAATTTCTAACAATTATTTACATATTAGGAATATTAGCCCTTTTCCTGTAATATATGTTGAAAGCATGTTTTTAACCTGGTTGTCAGTTGTCTTTTGACTTTGTTTATGATATTTATCATGCAGTTTATTTTTATGTTACTAGATTCATCAGTCTTTTATACATGGCTTTTAGATTTAGATTTATAACCATTGCCAACTGCTGGCTCCTCCAGAAACCACCAAAATGGTTTACTGATGAACAAAAACCAAGTTTATTGCTCACTGCAGTAAGGAAGATGACTGTCTTCACATAATCTTAGTAGCCTCAGAAAAGGGAGTCAAGGGTGGGATATTTGTAAGCTTTGGGGAGTCTGGTTCTAAGGTATGTCTTTCAATATGAGGTGTGCAGTCCTGACTGGGATAGGGTAAAGTTTGGATTGCTGGATACAGTGAGGCAAGACCTATAAAGCCAGCCTTGAAAGGTAAACAGTCACTTGAAAACCCAGTTGAGTGATCTACTGTTCTGAAAAGAAGGCTGTTTAGCCCGATGAGGCTGTATGAGTACAGATACATAGATCGGAAAGTTTCCAAGACAAAAAAGTAATTTGCAACTTTACTTTCTTAGGCAAGGATTTCTTGGAATAGTAAAGTCATCTTAGTGCAGACAGTTCCTAATCTTTTTATTTTTTATTTTTAGAGACATAGTCTCTCTCCATCCATTAGGTTGGAATTCAGTGTTGTGATCATAACTCACTGAAATCATAAGCTGGAATGCCTGGGCCCAAGTGATCCTTCCACCGCAGCCTCCCAAGTAGCTAGGGCTACAAGCACATGCCACCATGCCCAGCTAATTTTTAATCTTCTTATATAGAGACAGATTCTTGTTATGTTGGCAAGACTGGTTTTGAACTCCTGGTCTCAAGTAATCTTCCTGCCTTGGCCTCCCAAAGTGCTAGGATTACAGGTATGAGCCACCATGCCCAACCAAACAGTTCCTAATCTTTTTAAGCTGTGTGGCTTCAGGTTGCTTTTGTTCTCAACATATCCTCTATAAGATTCCTACCATTGGCTGCGTGTGGAGGCTCACACCTGTAATCCCAGCATTTTGGGAGGCCAAAGCGGGTGGATCACCTGAGGTCAGGAGTTCAAGACCAGCCTGGTCAACATGGTGAAACCCCGTCTCTACTAAAAATACAAAAAATTAGCCAGGCATGGTGGCAGATGCCTGTAATCCCAGCTACTTGGGAGGCTGAGGCGGGAGAATTGCTTGAACCCGGGAGGCAGAGGTTGCAGTGAGCCATAAGCCAAGATCCCACCATTGCACTCAAGCCTGGGTGACAGAGCGAGACTCTGCCTCAAAAAAAAAAAAAAAAAAAAAAATCCTATCATCTCTTTTATCTTCAGGTCATCTTTTTCTATTTTGATGTGTAAATTCTAGTTCTATGTTCTTTTAGTTTTCTGCAAAAGAGTACATGGGGATATATTTATAAATGCATGCATATTCAAAAATTTTCTTCTGCCCTTACACGTAAATGATAATGTGAATTTCATTTAGGATTTTTGAATCATATTTTTGTACAATATTTTCATACAGTTCTTTATGTTGAAGGGGTTCCTGTAGCAGCCTGCATTTTCTTCTGCAGTACTTACCACAATCAGAAGTTACGCTCCATCAAAGCAGTGAGTATCAGGTTCATACACTGCTATATTCCCAATGCCTAGAAAAATGCCTGACATATGATAATACCTCAGTAAACATTTGTCAATAAATAAGTGAATGAGGGGCGGGTGCAGTGGCTCACACTTGTAATCGACACTTTGGGAGGCCAAGGCAGGAGGATCGCTTCAACTCAGGAGTTCAAGACCAGCCTGGACAACATAGTGAGATCCCATCTCTACAAAAAATAAAATAATTGGCCATGTGTGGTGGTGCATGACTGTGGTCCCAGCTACTCAGGAGGCTGAAGTGGGAGGACTGTTTGAGCCCAGGAGGTGGAGGCTGCAGTGAGCCATGATTGCACCACTGTACTCCAGCCTGGGTAACAGAGCAAGTCTCTGTCTCAACAACTAGAAAAGAAAAGAATAAATGAATGAATTAGAGGTTGTATATGTAATGTATTTCTTCTCCTCTGGACTATAAACTTAACAGAAAGAGGAATCTTCTACATTGTTTGCCTCTTGTGTTTCACAACACAGTATCTGCCTCATAAAGATGTTGCATACATTTTTGTAAGCCAGTATATGTTTGCATAAGTGAAATTCAGTAAAATGCATTCCGGTAAGACTCAAGTAGAAACTAATTGTATATTCTTCTTCCTTCCTTTCCTTTTCCTTTTCCTTTTCTTTGTCTTACTCTTTCTGTTACCCAGGCTGGAGTGCGGTGGCCTGATCACAGCTCACTGCAGCCTTGACCCCACTAGGCTCAGGTAATTTTTCCACCTCAGCTTTCTGAGTAGCTGGGACTACAGGCACACACCACCACACCTGGCTAATTTTTATACTTTTTCTACAAAAATACAAGGTTTTGCCATATTGCCCAGTCTGGTCTTCAACTCCTGAGCTCAAGTGATCCACCTGCCTTGGCCTCCAAAAGTGCTAGGACTACAGTTGTGAGCCACTGTGCCCAGCCTAATTACATATTCTTATTTCAAGACCTCTTTGAAGATAAACCTTTAGTGCTAAATAATCATTCAGTATCATATCCTCTCAGCTTCTAGGACCAAATATTTGGCTTATCTCAACAACATGTATTCAGAATGCCCAATTCAATCTTGTCTTTGCAGAAAAAATCATTTTCTCTTATACACGATCCCAAAATATGCAAGAAAATATACATATTTTTCTCTTCTCCCCCTTGTTTCATAAACTGGTGTTGAGTTTTTAATTTTTATTGATGGTTTGGAATTTATAATGAAAATGAAAATGCTGATGAGGTCTTTGGCTGTAGTAACAAGAAGTACTACAGATGACTCAGAGAATAAAGCTGCCTCACATTACATTAAAACTCATCTCTTGGAAAATGGTGTAAATGGTTGACTGGAGATGAAGGTAATTTATCAATTTATGTGGTTGAGGCATATTACATGATCTTAACTTTCATAAAATTAAATCTGAATATATAACAATTTGAAATACCTTAATGCTAAGCCTTATCATTTGGCGAAGCCCCTTTTATCAAATTGAAACTCTAAAATTACCTACCATCATTTATCCCAATGGTATAACATGTCAATGGCTTACAATGTATCATTTATTTTCATAATCCATCCTTCATGAAAAATATTACCTAAAGTGTTTACCATAAAAGTGAGTGAAACCTAAGGCAAAGAAAAATAACAAAAATAGAATTAAAGAGAAAGGACTCAGAGGATGGAAGACATTGATTTAGGAAGAATGAATGACGGAGTTATAGGAGCATCCTATAATGTTAAGTTGTTACATCTTGCTAAAGGCCAAGCTCATTCTGCATATGTGAAGAGTTGATTGCATTATTTACATAGATGTATCTTGGGATTTGAACAAAGTTGTAAGTCAGTATAGAGGAAGTTGGGCATTCCAGGGTGAGCCTATTAGCGTCCTCCAGAGTAGAAATATTGGAATGGTCTCATACAGAAGAGATAGAATATAGGATAATTCGTCATTGATTACTTCCTCTGAATTAGGATATATTTATAATACTGTTTTTAAACCAGATAAAACTAGAGAAAATCTCAAGTAATTAGTCAATTTATTGTATTCCCCATCTTTCTTCTCTGAAACATTCCCTAGGTATACAGTAGTGTAATTATACATTTCAAAAGAGAGAGGTGCTACAGACCCTCTTTGCAACCTGTATGTGTATCCAATCCTCTTGTCTTCTTCTTCATTCTGTTTCAAGAGGATTACACTTTAAAAATGTCTTTTGAATTCCTGATCGCCTTACCATTCCATTTCCACTGCCTTGTCACCTTTCACAAAGAGTACTGAGGTAGCTTCTTTAAAAAATATGTATAGTTTCAACTTTTATTTTAGAATCAGTGGGTACATGTGCAGGTTTATTACATGGGTATGTTTCATGAAGTTGAGTCCGTTACCCAGGTAGTGAGAAAAATACACAATAGTTGGTTTTTCAACCCTTGCCCCCTTCTTCTCTCCTCCCTCTAGTATTTGCCAGGATCTATTTTTCCCATCTTTATGTCCATGTGTACCCAATGTTTAGCTCCCACTTATAAGTGAGAACATGCAGTATTTGATTTTCCATTTCTGTGTTAATTCACTTAGGATAATGGCCTCCAGTTGCATCCATGTTGCCACAAAGGACATAATGTCATTCTTTTTTATGGCTACATAGTATTCCATGGCGTATATGTACCACATTTTCTTTATCCAATCCACCATTGATGGACACCTAGGTTGATTCCACGTTTTTGCTATTGTGAATAGTGCTGTGATTAGCATACAAGTGCATGTCTCTTTTGTGTAAAATTATTTATTGTCCTTTGGGTATATACCCAGTCATGAGATTGCTGGGTCAAATGGTAGTTCTATTTTAAATTCTTTGAGAAATCTCCAAATTGCTTTCCACAGTGGCTGAACTAGTTTACATTCCTACAAACAGTATATAAGTATTCCCTTTTCTCTGCAGCCTTGCCAACATCTGTTATTTTTTGACTTTGTAATAATAGCCATTCTGATTGGTGTGAGATGGCATCTTATTGTGGTTTTGATTTGCATTTCTTTGATGTTGATATAATCACCAAAAACGTAAACATTTCAGTTGCTATTGGTTACATGTTACGTTTTCTGTTGTTTTTATTGTTGTGTAGTTCCTCCTGAGCTGGTTCGGCTCTGTGTCCCCACCCAAGTCTCTCACCTTGAATTGTAATAATCCCCTTGTGTTCTTGGAGGAACCCCGTGGGAGGTAATTGAATCATGGGGAGGGGGTTTCTTCCCATGCTGTTCTCATGATAGTGAGTAAGTCTCATGAGATCTGATGGTTTTAAAAAGGGGAGTTCTCCTACACATGCCCTCTTGCCTGCTGCCATGTAAGATGTGGTTTTTGCCTTACACCATGACTGCGAGGCCTCCCCAGCCATGTGGAACTGTGAATCAATTAAACCTCTTTTCTTTACACATTACCCACTCTCGGGTATGTCTTCATTAGCAACATGGGAACAGATTAATACAGTAAATTGGTACTGGGTAGTGGAGTGCTGCTGTAAAGACATCAGAAAATGTGGAAGCTACTTTGGAACTGGGTAACAGGCAGAGGTTGGAACAGCTTCGAGGACTCAGAAGAAGACAGAAAAGTATGGGAAAGTTTGGAACTTGCTAGAGGCTTGTTGATGGCTTTGACCAAAATGCTGAAGTGATATGGACAATAAAGTACAGGCTGAGGTGGTCTCAGATGGAGATGAGGGGTTTGTTAGGAATTGAAGCAAAGGTGACTCTTGTTATGCTTTAGCAAGGAGACTGGTGGCATTTTGCCCCTGCCCTAGAGATTTGTGGAACTTTGAACTTGAGAGAGATGATTTAGGGCATCCGGTGGAAGAAAGTTCTAAGCAGCAAAGCATTCAAGAGGTGACCTGGGTGCTGTTAAAAGCATTCAGTTTTATTTATTCACAAAGATATGGCTTGGAATTGTAAGTTATGTTTAAAAGGAAAGCAGGGCATAAAAGTTTGGAAAATTTGCAGCTTGATGATGTGATAGAAAAGAAAAACTCATTTTCTGAGGAGAAATTCAAGCCAGCTGCAGAAATGTGCATGTAACAAGGAGCCAAATGTTAATACCCAAGACAATGGGGAAAAGTCTCTAGGGCATGTCAGAGACCTTCCTGGAAGCCTCTCCCATCACAGGACTGGAGACCTAGGAGGAAAAAATGGTTTCCTGGGCCAGGTCCAGGGCCCCATTGCTGTGAGGAACCTAGGGACTTGGTGTCCTACATCCTAGCCGCTCCAGCCATGGCTAAAAGGGGCCAAGGTAGAGCTCGGGTTGTGGTTTCAGAGGGTGCAGCTTGGCAGCTTCCACATGGTGTTGAGCCTGTGGGTGCACAGAAGTCAAGAACCAAGGTTTGGAAACCTCTGTCTCAATTTCATTGGATGTATGGAAATGCCTGAATGTCCAAGAAGAAGTTTGCTGTAGGGGCAGGGCCTTCATGGAGAACCTCTGCTATGGCAGTGCAGAAGGGGAATGTGGAGTTGGAGCCTGCACACTGAGTCCCCAATGGGGTGCTGCCTAGTGGAGCTGTGAGAAGAGGGGCACTGTTCTCCAGACCCCAGAATGGTAGATACACTAACAGCTTGCGCTGTACACCTAGAAAAGACACTCAGTGCCAGCCCATGAAAGCAGCCAGGAGAGGGGCTGTAGCCTGCAAAGCCAAAGGGGTGGAGCTGCCCAAGGCTATGGGCGCCCAGTTCTTGCATCAGGATGTGAGACATGGAGTCAAAGAAGATCATTTCAGAGTGTTAAGATTTGGCTGCCCCGCTGGATTTTGGACTTGCATAGGCCCTGTAACCTCTTTGTTTTGGCCAATTTCTCCCATGTGGAATGGGTATATTTATGCAATGCCTATACCCCCATTATATCTAGGATGTAACTAATTTGCTTTTGATTTTACAGACTCATAAGTGGAAGGGACTTGCCTTGTTTCAGATGAAATTTTGGGCTTGGACTTTTGGGTTGATGCTGAAATGAGTTCAGTTTTTTGAGGATTGTTGAAAGCGCATGATTGTGTTTTTGAAATGTGAGGACATGAGATTTGAGAGGGGCCAGGGGTGGAATGATTGTAGGGAAAAGAAAGAGAGATCAGACTGTTCCTGTGTCTATGTAGAAAAGGAAGACATAAGAAACTCATTTTGATCTGTACCCTGAACAATTGTTTTGCCTTGAGATGCTGTTAATCTGTAACTTTAGCCCCAAGCCTGTGCTCACAGAAACATGTGTTGTATGGAATCAAGGTTTAAGGGATCTAGGGCTGTGCAGAATGTGCCTTGTTAACAATATGTTTACAGGCAGTATGCTGGTAAAAGTCATTGACATTCTCCATTCTCGATTAACCAGGGGCACAATGCACTGCGGAAAGCCTCAGGGGCCTCTGCCCAAGAAAGCCTGGGTATTGTCCAAGGTTTCCCCCAACTGAGGCAGCCTGAGATACGGCCTCGTGGGAAGGGAAAGACCTGACTGTCCCCCAGCCTGACACCCATAAAGGGTCTGTGCTGAGGAAGATTAGTAAAAGAAGAAGGCCTCTTGTGGTTGAGATAAGAGGAAGGCCTCTGTCTCCTGCATGCCCCTGGGAATGGAATGTCTCAGTGTAAAACCCAATCATACATTCATTCTATTCTGAGATAGGAGAAAACTGCCCTGTGGCTGGAGATGAAATATGCTGGCGGCAATGCTGCTCTGTTACTCTTTACTACACCGAGATGTTTGGGTGGAGAGAAGCATAAATCTGGCCTACATGCACATCCAGGCATAGTACCTTCCCTTGAACTTATTTGTGACACAGTTTCCTTTGCTCACATGTTTTCCTGCTGACCTTCTCCCCACTATCACCCCGTTCTCCTGCCACATTCTCCTTGCTGAGATAATCAAAATAGTAATCAATAAATACTAAGGGAACTCAGAGACTGGTGCCGATGCAGGTCCTCTGTATGTGGAGCGCTGGTCTCCTTGGCCCACTGTTCTTTTGCTATACTTTGTCTCTGTGTTTTATTTATTTTCTCAGTCTCCCCATCCCACCTGACGAGAAATACCCACAGCTGTGGAGGGGCTGGCCCCCTTCAGATGATATGGTTTGGCTCTGTATGCCCACCCAAGTCTCACCTTGAATTATAATAATCCCCACGTGGGATCAATTGTGGGACCTGGTGGAGGTAATTGAATTATGAGGGTGTCTTCTTTCCATGCTGTTCTTATGATAGTGAATAAGTCTTACAAGTTCTGATGGTTTTATAAAGGGGAGTTCCCCTACACAGGACCTCTTGCCTGCCACCATGTAAGACGTGCCTTTAGCCTTCCACCATGATTGTGAGGCCTCCCCAGCCATGTGAAACTGTGAGTCAATTAAACCTCTTTCCTTTATACATTACCTAGTCTCGGGTATGTCTTCATTAGCAGTGTAAGAACAGACTAATATGCTGCTTCTACAGTTTATTGAATTTAACTTTTAAATCAAGTTGTGATTTTATTGTTGTTGTTGTCTTTGAGTCTTGCCATCCAAATCAAAACTGGGCTAATTTGTGGAAATAATATCTATTGGGTTAAGGAGAGAATTGTTAGATGCAGCCTAAAAGAAAGAATTTAGTGTTCACTGTATCTATCATGAAAGGCTCTTTCTATTTGTTTTCTATTATAAAGTAATATGCTGTATTTCATGGCAAAGGCTTTAAATTGAAAACTCCAAGGCTTAAAATTTAAGCCTTGCATTTGGAAATAGACGACTAGCTCTACAGAAGTAGTTTTGTTTTGTTTTTGTTTTTGTTTTTTTGCAGTGGGGGGCTGGTATTTGGGGGCAGGGAGAGGGGAAAAAGTCCATTTGCTGGTACTGAGTGACTTTGGGCAAGTTACTTGCCCTCTGTAAGCCTCAATTTCCTCATCTATAAAATGGGATAATATTAGCTTTCTTGTAGGATTGTTGGGAGAATTAAATGAGATAAGGAATATCTGTAAAGCAGTTAACATGAAACAGGCCCTCAATAAATGGAAACTAATTTTATTGTTTGTAATAGAAAACAACAATGTGTCAGCTTCTAGTAATAACTTTAAAATATTCTATGCATACTATATAGCAAAGGCAGTTTTACTTCTAATCACAGAACATATAACACTAAGTATAGTTCTAATACTTAAGAAGCAAAATAACACCAGGGCAGTAACAAATGCTGGAGAGGAGGTAGAGAAAAGGAAACCCTCATATGTTGTTGATGAGAATGTAAATTAGTACAACCACTATGGAGAAGAGTTTGGAGGTTTCTCATAAAAGTAAAAATAGAGTTACCATATGACCCAACAATCTACTGGGTATATACTCAAAAGAAAGGAAATCAGTATATAGAAAATATATTTGCACTCCCATGTTTGTTGCAGCACTATTCACAACAGCCAAAATTTGGAAGCAACCTGAGTGTCCATTCACAGAGGAATGGATAAAGAAAATGTGGCACTTATCTGCAATGGATTACTATTCAGCCATAAAAAAGAATGAGATCTTGTCATTTGCAATAACATGGATGGAACCGGAGGTCATTATGTTAAATGAAATAAGCCAGGCACAGAAAGACAAACATCACATGTTCTCACTTATTTTTGGATCTAGAAATCAAAACAATTGAAAACATGAAAATAGAGAGTAGAAGGATGGCTACCAGAGGCTGGGTAGTGTAATAGGGGTGGGGTGGGTAGGGAGGTGAGGATGGTTAATGGGTACAAAAAAAATAGTTGGAAAGAATGAATACAGCCGAGTATTTCATAGCACAACAGGGTGACTATAGTCAATAATAATTTAATTGTACTTTCTAAAATAACTAAGAGTATAATGGGACTCTTTGTGACACAAAGAATAAATGCTTGAGGTGATGAATACTCCATTCTCCGTAATGTGATTATTACATATTGAATACCTGTATCAACATATTACATGTACCCCATAAATATATACACCTATAATATACCCTCAAAAATTAATTTTTTTTTTTTGAGATGGAGTCTTGCTGTCACCCAGGCTGGAGTGCAGTGGTGCGATCGCAACTCACTGTAACCTCCGCCTCCCAAGTTCAAGAGATTCTCCTGCCTCAGCCTTCTGAGTAGCTGAGATTACAGGCACGTGCCACCACACCCAGCTAATTTTTGTATTTTTAGTAGACATGGGGTTTCATTATGTTAGTCAGGCTGGTCTTGAACTCCTGACCTCGTGATCTGCCCACCTCGGCCTCCCAAAGTGCTGGGATTACAGGCATGAGCCACTGTACCCGGCCAAAAATCTTAAAAAATACCAGGGGACATATCAGCATAGCTGAGCCACTCTGACTTTTTATCAGTTTCCGGAAGACACCCATCTCCTTCTTACCTCTAGGCCTGTGTATTTCCATTCCCTTCAGCCTGGAAAGCTCTTATCCAAGCTATTTACATGGCTGGCTTCTTATTCTTTAGTTGTTAGCTTAATGTCAACTCCTTACAGACACCCTACCTGATTATCTTAGCTCAATTAGGCCGTTCCTTGCTCTAGTCACTATTATAGCATCCTATATATTTCCTTCAGAGAGGTTGTCACAACCTGAATTACCTTATTTTTTTGTTCTTGTTTACTTGCTTACTATCAGTCTCTCCCATTAAGCTCCAATGACATGGTCAAGGACCACATCTACTTGTGGCCCATTGAAGACCCCTTGCCTAACACAGTGTCTGGTACATGTTGAATTGTCAGTAAATATTTGTTGAAACAATTGGTTAATAAATACTGTTCCTGAAAGCCTCTCTGCCACTGTCTCTGCAGTAGAACTGCCCTTGCTACCCTCAGACTAATGAAGAAGAGAAGACCCTAAGTACCTTATTTATACCTCCAACAAGCTGCAATCAACCCAAGAAGAGGAGGCCAGTCCGTCTCCCATGGTTCCCACACCCCCAACCCCCACTCATCACCAGAGAGAACCCCTGGCTTGAGCCCACAGCACAGACCCTTCATCCTGGGGTGATTGCACTGAGGAATTGCTGACCTACATCTCTCTGGTGTGGAGCTCCCAGGATACAAGCAAAAGACCCCTGACCACAACCACTACTAAGGTCCTTTCCTCTGTTGCCGCCAAGTTGAGGAAGGAACGTAAACACTGACATTGCCCCAGAGCTGCAGTGGGCAGCCAGGAGTGTCAAACCACAATCTACAGCCATACAGCTGGCACTCAAGGGGGAGAGGAACCCACACTTTCAGAGCATCGAGAGTGAACACAGCTGTAACTATGAGAAAACATAGAGGAGCCACACAACTGAGCAAGAGTCTACCAGTTGACCAATAAGCCTAAGTGCCACCTACTGGATCACACCCCAAAGCTTCAACACCAAGAATACCTCACTAACATACTCACCTCTGAAACTAGAGACAAGAAGTCAGCTTCAAAAAAAGACCCTGCACAAGGCCTCAGCCTAGTGAAAACAGCCAGAAGTCTATTGACTGTACTCAATCTATATGGCAGTTAAAGGAACACCCACACATGGAGATGAGAAAGAACTAACGCAAGAACTCCAAAAATTAAAATGGCCAGAGTGTCATATGTGCTCCAAATGGCCATACAAATTCTCTAACAAGAGTGCTTATCCAGGCTGAGCTGGCTGAAATGACAGAAACAGAATTTAGGATATGTATAGGAATGAAGATCATTGAGATTCAGGAGGACAGCAAAACCCAATCCAAAGAAACTACAAATCACAATAAAGTGATACAGGAGCTGAAAGACAAAATAGCCAGTATAATAAAGAACCTAATGGGTCCGACATAGCTGAATAACACAGTACAAGAATTTCACAATGCAATCACAAGTATTAACAGTAGAATAAACCAAGCTGAGGAAAGAATCTCAGAACTCGAAAACTGGCTTTCTGAAATAAGACAGTCAGACAAAAATAAAGAAAAAAGAATAAAAAGGAATGAACAAAACCTCCAAGAAGTAGGGGATTATGTAAAGAAGCCAAATCTACAAATCACTGGCATCCCTGAAAGGAAGGGGGAGAAAGCAAACAGTTTGGAAAACATATTTCAATATATTGTCCATGAAAACTTCCACAACCTTGCTAGAGAGGACAACAGTCAAATACAGGAAATACAGACAACTCCTGCAAGATTCTACACAGGAAGATCATCCCCAAGACACATAATTGTCAGATTTTCCAAGGTAAAAATGAAAGAAAGAATGTTAAAGGCAGCCAGAAAGAAAAGGCAGGTTACCTGCAAAGGAAATCCCATCAGGCTAACAGTGGACCTCTCAGCTGAAACCCTATAAGCCAAAAGAGATTGGGGGCCTATATTCAACATTCTTACAGAAAACAATCTTCAACCAATAATTTTATATGCAGCCAAACTAAGCTTCCCAAGCAAAGGAAAAATAAGATTCTTTTCAGATAAGCAAATGTTGAAGGAATTCTTTACTACCAGACCTGCCTTACAAGAGATCTCAAAAGAAGCACTAAATATAGAAAGAAAAGATCACTACGAGCTAATACAAAAACACACTTAAACACACAGAATAGTGTCACTGTAAAGCAACCACACAAACAAACCAACATAATAATCAGCTAACAACACAATGACAGGATCAAATCCACACCCAACAATGGTAACTTTGAATGTAAATGGGCTAAATGCTCAACTTAAAAGGCACAGAATGACAAGATGGATAAAAAAGCAAGTCCCAATGGTATGCTGTCTTTAAGAGACCCATCTCACACATAATGACACCAAAAGGCTCAAAATAAAGGCATGGAGGAAAATCTACCAAGCAAATGGAAAACAGAAAAAAGCTGAGGTTGCAATCTTAATTTCAGACAAAACAAACTTCAAAACAACAAAGATCAAAAAAGACAAAGAAGGGCATTACATAATGGTAAAGGGTACGATTCAACAACAAGATCCAACTATCCTAAATGTATATGCACCGAACACAGGGGCACCCAGATTCATGAAGCAAGTTCTTAGAGACCTACAAACAGGCATAGACTCCCACACATTAATAGTGGGAGACTTCAACACTCCACTGACAATATTAGACACATAATTGAGGCAGAAAATTAACAAAGATACTCAGGACCTGAACTCAACATTGGACCAAATGGATCTGATAGACCTCTTCAGAGCTCTCTACTCAAAAACAGCAGAATATACATTCTTCCCATCGCCACATGGCATCTACTCGAAAGGCAACTACTTAATTGGACGTAAAACAATCCTCAGCAAATGTAAAATAACTGAAATAATACGAAACACACTCTCTGACCGCAGCGCAATAAAAATAGAAGTCAAAGACCAAGAAAATCATTCAAAATCAGGCAATGACATGAAAACTAAACATGCTCCAGAATGGCTTTTGGGTAAATAATGAAGTTAAGGCAGAAATCAAGAAGTTCTTTGAATCTAATGAGAACAAAAATATAACATACCAGAATCTCTAGGACATAGCTAAGGCAGTGTTAAAAGGGAAATTCATCGCATGAAATGCCCACATCAAAAAGTTAGAAAGATCTCAAATTAACAACTTAACGTAACAGATGAAGGAATTAGAGAGGCAAGAACAAATCAACCACAAAGCTAGCAGAAAACAAGAAATAACCAAAATCAGAGCTGAAATGAAGGAATCTGAGACACGAGAAACCATTCAAAAGATCAACAAATCCAGGAGTTGGTTCTTTTAAAAAATTAATAAGATAGATAGGCTACTAGCTAGACTAATAAAGAAGAAAAGAGAGAAGATCCAAATAAACACAACTGGAAATGACGAAGGGAATGTTACCACTGACCCCACAGAAATAAAAATAACCACTAGAAACCACTATGCACTCAAACTAGAAAACCTAGAAGAGATGGATAAATTCCTGGACACATACACCCTCCCAAGACTGAACCAGGAAGAAACTGATCCCCTGAATAGACCAATAATGATCTCCAAAAGTAAGTCAGTAATAAATAGCCTACCAACCAAAATAAAGCTCAGGACCTCATGGATTCACAGCTGAATTTTACTATATGTACAAAGAAGAGCTGGTACCATTTCTATAAAAACTATTCCAAAAAACTGGGGAGGAAGGACTCCTCCCCAGCTCATTCTACGAAGCCACCATCATTCTGATACAAAAACTTGGCAGAGACACAACAAAAAAGAAAACATCAGGCCAATATCCTTGATGAACATCAATGCAAAAATCCTCAGCAAAATAATTTCAAACTGAATCCAGCAGCACATCAAAAAGCTAATCCACCATGATCAAATAGACTTCATTCCTGGGATGCAAGGTTGGTTCAACATACGCAAATCAATAAATGTGATTCATCACATAAACAGAACTAAAGACAGAAACCACATAATTATCTCAATAGATGCCGAAAACGCTTTAGATAAAATTCAACACCCCTTCATGTTAAAAACTCTCAATAAACTAGGTATTGAAGGAACATACCTCAAAATAATAAGAGCCATGTTTGACAAACCCACAGTCAACATCATACTGAATGGGAAAAGCTGGAAGCATTCCCCTTGAAAACTGGCACAAGACAAGGATGCCTTCTCTCACCACTCCTATTCAACATAGTATTGGAAGTTCTAGACAGAACAGTCAGGCAAGAAATAGAAATAAAGGGCATCCAAATAGGAAGAAAGGAAGTCAAACTATCTCTCTTTGCAGATGACATTATTCTATATCTAGAAAACCTCTTTTTTTTTTTTTTTTTGAGACAGAGTCTCACTCTTGTTGCCCATGTTGGAGTGCAGTGGCATGATCTCGGCTCACCACAACCTCCGCCTCCTGGGTTCAAGTGATTCTCCTGCCTCAGCCTCCCAGAGCAGCTGGGATTAGTGATATACACCACCACACCTGGCTAATTTTGCATTTTTCAATAGAGACAGGGTTTCTCCATGTTGGTCAGGCTAGTCTTGAATTCCTGACCTCAGGTGATCCACCCACCTCAACCTCCCAAAGTGCTGGGATTACAGGCATGAGCCACAACACTTGGCCTATATCTAAAAAACCTTATAGTCTTGGCCCAAAATTTCCTTCAGCTGATAAACAACTTCAGCAAAGTTTCAACATACAAAATCAACGTACAAAAAACACTAGTATTCCTATACACCAACAACAGCCAAGACAAGAGTTAAATCAGAAAGGCAATCCCATTGACAGAAAGAATCAAATATCTAGGAATATAGCTAACTAGGGAGGTGAAAGACCTCTACAATGAGAATTACAAAGCACTGCTCAAAAATATCAGAGAAGACACAAACAAATGGAAAAACATTCCATGCTCATGGATAGGAAAAATCAGTATTATTAAAATTGCCATACTGCCCAAAGAACTTACAGATTCAATGCTATTCCTACTAAAGTGCCAACAACCTTTTTCATGGAACTAGAAAAATCTATTTTAAAATTTATATAGAACCAAAAAGAGCTCAAATAGTCAAGGCAATCCTAAGCAAAAATAACAAAGCTGGAGGCATCATGTTACCTGACTTCAAACTATACTACAGGGCTACAGTAACCAAAACAGCATGGTAATGGTACAAAACCAGGCACATAGACCAATAGAACAGAATAGAGAGCCCAGAAATAAGGCCACACACCTACAATAATCTGATCTTCAACAAAGCTGGCAAAAACAAGCAATGGGGAAAAGACTCCCTGTTCAATAAATGGTGCTGGGGTGACTAAGCAGCCACATGCGAAAGATTGAAGCTGGACCCCTTCTTTATACCATTTACAAAAATAAACTCAAGATGGACTAAAGACTTAAATGTAAAACCCAAAACTATAAAAACTCTGGAAGACAACCTAGGCAATACCATCTTGGACACAGAAACAGACAAAGATTTCATGACAAAGACACCAAAAGCAATTGCAAGAAAAGCAAAAATTGACAAGAGGGATCTAATTACTCTTAAGAGCTTCTGCATAGCAAAAGAAATTATCAACAGAGTAAAGAGACAACCTACAGAATGGGAGACAATTTTCAAACTGTGCATCTGACAAAGGTCTAATATCCAGCATCTATAAGAAACTTAAACAATATTACAAGAGAAAAACAACCCCATAGAAAGTGGGCAAAGGACCCCTTAGAAAGTGGGCAAAGAACATAAACAGACACTTTTCAAAAGAAGGCATACATGTGGCCAAGAAGCACATGAACAAAAGCTCAATATTACTGATCATTAGAGAAATGCAAACCAAAACCACTATGAAGATACCGTCTCACACCAGTCAGAATGGCTATTACTAAACAGTCAAAAAAAAAAAAAAAAAAAAGAAAACCAGATGCTGGTGGTGAGGTTACAGAGAAATGAGAACATTTATATGCTGTTGGTAGGAGTGCAAATTAGTTCAACCATTGTGGAAAGCAGTGTGGTGATTCCTCAAAGAGCTAAAAGCAGAACTACCATTTGACCCAGCAATCCCATTACTGGGTATATACCCTGAAGAATATAAATCATTCTACCATAAAGACACGTGCATGCAAATGTTCATCTTGGCTTGGTTTCTCATTCTTTTGTTCACTTTTCGGAGTCATTTTCCTACCATTCATTTGTGCATGCAGTGTCTGAATTTCAGATAACAAACTCCTATGTGCTTTCTGGAGGCATTCCATAGCTGCTTGATATTCAACAGCACTATTCACAGTAGCAAAGACATAGAATCAACCTAAATGCCCATCAACAACAAATTGGATAAAGAAAATTGGGTACATTTATACCATGGAATACCGTGCAGCCACAAAAAAGAATGAGTTCATGTATTTCGTGGGAACACGGATGGTGCTGGAGGCTATTATCGTTAGCAAACTAACACAGAAACAGAAAACCAAATACCACATGTTCTCACTTATAAGTGGAAGCTAAATGATGAGAACTTACAAATGTGAAGAAGGAGACAACAGACACTGGGGTCTACTTGAGGGTGGAGGGTGGGAGGAGGGAAAGGAGAAGAAAAGATAGCTATTGGGTACTGGGCTTAATACCTGGGTGATGAAGTAATCTGTACAACAAACCCCCATGACATGAGTTTACCTATGTAACAAACCTTCACATGTACCCCCAAACCTAAAATAACAGTTTTTTAAAAATAATCAATATTGTCCCAGTCCTCCATTTTACAGATATGGAAGTTGTGATTAAAATGTGATTAATGTCACAGAAATACTAGGAAAGCCAAGCTTCTAACAGTCATTCCAGGGTCACTGCCAGGGTGTCAAATCCTATGTCACTGCACAGTATTACTATAACAACAAAGTGTCCCTTTCCTGACTTCCTATTCCCCATTCTTGATCCAGCATCTTTGGGATCCACTTCCAGGCATTTTCTCTGGGGTCCTGCTGGCTTAAGTCAGCCAGATCCTGCAGTGCCTTTGCCATATGATCCTCCCCTCCCTTAACAGACACTGTACTTACCCAGTTGGATTATACTGAAACTTAGTCCTCATACTGTCTGGTATCGGGGAGAGAAGTGGGGGTAGATTCTGAGCAGGACCAACATTGTTTTGTAAGACACTTGACTTACTCGAAGCTTATAGTTTTCAAGCAAGGAGAAGGTCTTCCATCTTCCAGCAAGGGAGTGGGCCACCTCTGTAGGCCCAGATATTCCGGAGAAGCTGGGAGGCCAAGGTCCTTAAGTGTGTCTAATAAGTTTCCCCATTCCAATTCTCATGTTCCCACTTTTTTCCAATCAGGACCCTGATTCTCTTGAGGGAGACTTACACAGGCTGAGAATTAACCTTCTCTGGCGTTCTGCCACTCATAAGTACAGGCTGCACCTGGGCTTCAGTTCAGTTGGCCTTCTGGCTGCCAGTGATGAGGGACTTTTTAAAGGCTTCCATGGAGGCCCTTTGACTCTCACACTTGGGTTTAAATTGGTGGTTAATAGATTTGATCCTGGCATCTATACTTAGTGCATCAATGGTGCTTAGCAATACCCTCCCAATTCAACAATCTTTCAAGTTACTTTTCCACCTGTACTCTCAAATACTAGATACATCACAGAAGTTAATGCATTCGCTTCTACTTATATGCTGTCCTGGTTCACTACAAGTAAAAGTGTTAGCAATTTCACTGCAGGAGCACATCTGAGACTATCTTCAGGGAAGAGATTCTGATGGGACCACTGGTGAGTGAGCAAACTCCAGAATCCCATCCTTAGACTCAGGTGTATATAACTACTACTGCTATCAACTGTCTTAGATTGGGCTCTTGCAGCTGACCCTGAGAATTAGATTCCTGTCCAAGTGATTGCCTGAGGGAGTGCTCTCAGAAGAAATCTGAACAGCGAGGAAGGAAGCAGAATAGGACAGGAAAAGAAGCTGGGAAAGATATGGGTTTAGCTGAAGTCTAGCCTCAGTCTGATCCCACAGGGAGTTCTGGAGCCTCAGTTCTGTACACCCGTATCAATCAGTCATTGGCTGTGAGCTACCCACGGGGGAAGGCTGTTACCTTCCAGGCATTTTCTGAAATTGTTGGCTTGAATGGAATCCTCAGGGAAAGAGTGTGAACTATTAGCAGCCAACACTCTCAGCAGCTAAGGGATGAGTACGCCAGCTCATTGAAGAGATTCTGGACAGGACACCAACAGCATCTTCAGTAAAGATGTACTTCAATGGTAAGGACACTGAACCCAGAAAGAAGGAGTCACATGCAAGAAGAAATGGTGGACCAAGAAATGTATAAACATCTGGCTATATCTGAATAAGCACTCTTATACACAACAATAATGGGGAACAATGGCTAATTTGGAGATGGAGGGTATTTAAAAGGCAGAATTTAAACAATAAACATTAATAAGGAATATGGGGTAATTAGTATTGAAAGTTTCTAAAGCCCTTGTATTTTTGAGGTGAAGGGTAAATACATTAATTAAATTTAGATTTTATTATGTCAAGTTATACTTGTAAAAATTTAATGGAGCTCCCAGATGTAGGGAGTAAATTAAACACATGCATCAAATTTGGTCCTCCCCAAATCCAGTTAATTTGTCAGTGAATTTTTTTAAGTCCTGGGCCATGGGAAAATAAACAATAATAACACAATTTTGGAAAATTGGATGAGTGAGAAAAGACTTAGCAGAACTCCCAAATTAAAGTACTAAACCAGCAGCAGGAAAGCCAAGAAGCAACTTGTTTTACACTCAAGAGCCTTCAAGTGTCAGGAATTGGCAGCATCAGATTCTTCTGGAAGTGTGGTGAAGAGGAGAGACTAAAATGAGAATGATGCGTTGAAAGTTTATTTAAGAAGCAGTCAGATCACTAGATCCTTTCCAATCATGAAAAGGTACACTACCGCTTCTATTTCCCTTCTCTTTCCCAGGAAGCATATTCACAGGAGAGAGAGAACAGGTTTCCTGCTTGGGGATCCCAAGCAGGGTTGAAGTTGGGAGCACTGTACTGAACAAAGCCAGCTTAAGAAAATGCATGCATACTGAATGCCCACCTCTCTCTACTCCACTATCTCGCTTGACCCAGATCCAAAATAGTAGTAGCAGACTTTGACTCTTCTGACAGGAGATTGGAAGAATCTTACCTGATCAGTCCAGGAGGAAAACCTAAATGCAGTAACATCAGGGTTCCCTAACTAAGCTGTCCAGAACTTACCATCTTCACCAAAACAAGAAATTAAACCAATAAAGTGGAAGATCAGGGCAACACACCCAGGACATACACCCAGGTTGGGAGACACATGTAGGAGAGTAAGACAGTGAGGCCAGAATGATGCTGAGGGAAAGTCCCAAGATGACAGCTTTATGTCTTACGCATCAGGCATAAAGACCAATAGGCCATCAGAAGAATGAAGCATATTTTGTCAGGAAGATGAAAGCAATGCATCTTAGTAGCTTAAGAGAAGATTTAGAGAACTGGCAAATAATTTGGGATTAAATTAGTGATAAGTACATAGAAAACTAAGCAAATGGTAAAACAAGATAATTAGCTCCAGGGCAAGCAAAAAGCTGCTCAGGAAAGAAAAATTTATCATAGTTTCCTACATGGCTCAGCTGTGAACAGTTTGTGCATAGTTATATTAATGTAAATATATTGCTTGATATCAAACGCAAACATAATATGACTGTATTGTGAGGGCGTGAAGAGGAAAGAAGGCACATATATGGTGGGAGCAGTCATTTTCTAGAGTGGGAAGTCAGTAGATAATACCAAAAACTGGAAAATTGAGAAATATAAGAAATTGAGAAATGAATGTTTTTTAGAGACATGGAAGTAGATACCAACATGACCAGTAAAAGAAATGTAAATGATTGTTTCAGGGGAAGGAAGGAGGGATATAAGGCTCATGAGGAAGTATCTGATATTTTCAACTATGAGTTTTTAAAATTTTTGGTGAAATAAAATCTAAATATAAAAACAAAGATGGAATGGGAATGTAATGAAATATTCAACTAAAAATATTTCAATGGCAACTACTGAAAGAATGCAAAGAAAATATATAATTTCCAAACCAGTATGAGGAGAAAAAAGAAAAAGAGAAAAAAATAAAACACTTCAGTAATCCCTTAGAAAACAGGAAAGAAGAATGGAAGAAGCAAAGCAGAAGCTTGGTAATAAAGAAAAGAAAAAAAAAGTAAAAGAGGCTGAGCACAGTGGCTCATGCCTGTAATCCAACACTTTGGGAGGCTGAGGTGGGCAGATCACTTGAGCCTAGGAGTTCAAGACCAGCCTGGACAAGATGGTGAAACCCCGTCTCTACAACAAATACAAAAATTAGCCAGGTGTGGCAGCTCGCGTCTGTAGTCCCAGCTACTTGGGAGGCTGGGGTGGGAGGATTGCTTGAGCCTAGGAAGTAAAGGCTGCAGTGAGCTGAGATTGTGCCACTGCACTTCAGCCTGGGCAACAGAGCAAGACCCTGTCTCAAAGAAAGGAAGGATGGAAGGAAGGAAGGAAGGGAGGAAGGGAGGGAGGAAGGAAGAAAAAGGAAGGGAAGAGGGACGGAAGGACAGAAGAGAGAGAGAGAGAGAGAGAGTGAGATTCAACTAAGGTAACCAGGCAAGCTTTGGAAGAGAAGTGTAAGAAGAAGAAAGGGATTTTAAAGAATGTGTGGATAAGTGTGACAGTCTTCAGCCAAACAAACTGATTCCCAGCAGTCAAAGACAAGTACTCAAGCACTGCAGGGCCATGAGGACCTTGAGAAAAAGGAAAGGTGGTAAGGAAATCACTCAGAGTGGGCCCTGGGTGCTGGCCAATAGGTGGTGCTGTCTGTATGGACAGCAGTGTTGTCATCCAGGGCAGCAACACAGTGGAAAGGAAATCCAAAGCTTAATGAGCCATTCACATATAAGAACCTTTGCCAGCTAAGTGTTCATAATTTGAGAATTACATATATTTCAGTATTCATTATATGACTCAAGATTTCAATATTTCAATATTCAATCTACACAACTGATATGGTTTGGCTCTGTGTCCCCACCCAAATCTCATTTCAAATTGTAATCCCCACATGTTAGAGGAAAGGCATGGGGGGAGGTGACTGGATCATGGCGGTGGATTTCTCTCTTGCTGTTCTCATGATAGTGAGTAAGTTCTCAAAAGATCTGATAGTTTTAAGGTGTGGCAATTCCCCCCTTGCTCTTTTACTCTCTCTTGCCACCATGTAAGATGTGTCTTGCTTCTCCTTCACCTTCTGCCATGATTGTAAGTTTCCCCAGCCCTGCAGAACTGTGAGTCAATTAAACCTCTTTTTCTTTATAAATTACCCATTCTCAAGTAGTTCTTTATAGCACTGTGAAGATACAATAACCAACACTTATACAATACAATAACCAACACTTAACTAGTATTAATGATATACCCCTATTAAGCAAAAGGATTTCTTGAGTGAAGTAAACCCAATAACCAGTATTTCTTTTCAAAAACATCTATAAAAATACTAGGTTTCTATAAAATTTTCCAGATACCACTTGATAGTCATTCAATTGAACATTGAATATGCTTTGTCTCAATTTCCAACATTCAAGATAAATATTTTTTCTATTTTATTACCTTTTTCATTTTATCATTAAAATTATTATATCATATTTTTTCATTTTTAAAGAGAGAGTATTTCAGTAACTTTATAAATTAAGTAAGTTTTTGCTGGCCAATTTGGAAAACTAAACAACTATTTTAAAAGAGGAAAACGCACACCGGAATCAACAAGTAAAAATTGAATGTCATTTTTATTACTATTTTTACTTATAAGAATTATAGAAATATTTGGTTATTTCAATTCCCTATGTGTATAACTCATCACAATTTGATAAGGAGATAGGTTTAAGTGTATGTGTATATAAAAAGAGACTGAAAGGAAAAAGATAAGTAGTTATCTCTGATTGGTTGTTGGGATTAGCTATATTTTCCAAATACTCTAGAATGAATATGTATTACTTTTCTATTATTAATTGGGTTAGGGATTAAAAAAACATTAGACCTGTATGTTAAAGTTGAACCAGCATCGTCAGGAAGGATACAAAAATCACCTGCCAAACGATGTCCATTTCAATTTACTTTATGTCCTTTCTAGGACCACTGTGAGCAGTTGTAGGTACCTGTGAGAGTGCTCAATGTAAAAAACAATTTCTGTTACCCTAAATTGGGTTAATGATAAGTGTCTAAAGGAGATGTAGATCTAGCATATAAGACCTTCTAGATAAATTTAAAGATATCAGGAATGAAGGCTGCAGAGGAGTACTTTGGAAAAAAAGTTTAGTAATGAAAAGCAATATGAATTGTTTCAGAAATACCGTGACTTGGAGACATGGGAAGTGTATCAAACAGAAGTCGAGGACAGACATAAATGAAGTGACTTGCTTTCAATACGACAGATGTCCAAGACGGAAAAATGTCACCCAGGGCAAGAAAATGACTCAGGCTGGAATAAAGAAACTGGCTGCAGAGAGAATAATTTAATCAGGAAATCGAAGCCAGGTACAGTCGCTCACGCCTGTAATCCCAGTGACTCCAGAGCCTGAGGCAGGAGGATTGCTTGAACCCAGGAGTTTGAGGCTGCAGTGAGCTATGATTGCACCACTGCACTCCAGCCTGGGCAACAGAGTAAGACCTCATCTCTACCAAAAACAAACAAACAAACAAACAAACAAAACCCATAGGGAACCAAGTGGAAGACTTAGGATCTATTGTCTTCTTTTATCTCAAGCTGGTGGAAATAGCTCTGCATTTAAAGGTAGAAATAAGGATGGAGCAGATAGACAACCCAAAACTAAGAGTCATAACTATAAAATACCTAAATACATATTAATTTTCACCAAGCTAAAGTGAAAAATGAAATGTTCAATACTATCTATGCTGTATTTGTACGTATGGGATATGGTGTGTGGTGGATACTGGGCTGGGCCCTTGAAACTATGAGGCTAATAACACTGAGAAGGGAAGATGGGAGAAAAAGCAGTATGGGAGGTCTTAAAGTCTTGGTAACTTCAGAAATGTGCTAGGATTTGTGGGCAGCAGATATTTCAAAACACTAAGTAAAGAACGCTGGAGTTAAAGGCATGGAGCTTCAGAAAGTTATTAGCACTGATAGCCAACCACGGTGGTGGGTGCCTGTAGTCTCAGTTACTTGGGAGGCTGGGGTGGGAGGATTGCTTGAGCCCAGGAGTTCAAGGCTGCAGTGAGCTATGATCATATCACTGCACTCCAGCCTGGGTGACGGAGACCCCATCTTTAAAACAAAACAAAACAAAACAAAGATAAGAAGAAAAGAAAGTTACTGGCACTGAGAGCCAGACAGATGCCCAAAGTAAGAGCCCATTAAGAATTTCCACCATGAGATAACTGGAACAGTAATTTTCACATTAAAAATAGCTTTCTTCCTGCACTTAAAGGGATGGTTCGAGGAAGCAGATTCTAAAGGAGAGGTGAAAAAGAAGACATGCTCTGGATGTTTGGAGATACAGCTATAAGCCAACATCCTCGGCAAGCCCTGTACCACCCCAATGCCACCACTCCCTGTTCCAGTGGGTAGACATGGGTGGGAGCAGCATGAGTGATTACAGTTAGGGGGCTAATATCACCGTCTTTATTTCATCATGTCTCCAACATCCTGAGAAGGACATAGTGGCCACTATCCCTCAACCAAAGAAACTGATGAGTGCAGTAGGAACCTGCTTTGGAGGGTTCACATTGGGACTCATCAATGTGGAAGGTAAAAATCTGAAGATACAATTGAAATCTAGATAGCCTTGAATGGTATGGACAAGGAGACATAAAATCTGCTTACTAAATCAGAATAATAAGATGAAAGGTCAATAATAAGCATAGAAAGGTCAATAATGGAATAATAATAGTAGAGGTCATCCCTAGAAGGTTGAAAACATTTTCAAGTAAATATAAGAAACTCCTTATTGTACGTAGTAGTGCAGGCTGGAAAAATATACTTATTTAGTTCAAATCATGTGACAGGCACTAGGAATAAAGTTAGTCCCTGCCCTCACAGGGTTCAAGGTCTAAATGGAATAATAGATATGAAATAACTCAACAAGTAAATAGCTCAGCTGTTGGAAATCAAACAAGGAGAAGAAAAGAAAAAGGACATAGTGCTATAAAAGAAAATCTTTATAAAATTCAAAACCATTTAAAATATGTTGCCATTGATTTCCTTATTAACAGGTTTTAATACCTCCATCTTTCTCTAATAGTTTTCAGTTTATTAGAAACAGTATGTGAACTTTTTAGATTAAAAATTTCCAGCATAGGTTTATCACTTATTATATCCTTTTATTCCTTGAAATGGATGATTGTCAGGCAGAAATTTAGGACAAAGGAGCTGGAAAATATTCATGAGACTCAGGAACAAAGCTATTACTCCAACTGTAAGGTTTCATTATAAGCACGTAAATATAGTTCAAAGTTACCACATCTGTAAACTCAAAAATGCTGCTCACTTGGCTGGATCCAATCAATATTTGCTAACCATTATTTTAGTTATTCTTCATATAGACAGGCGCTTTGTTTCTTAGAAGAAATCACTGTCCATAACCAAAAAAAAACTTAATTGTGAAATGGTTTTATTTAAAACAGTCTTTTCTGGTTATTGAACATTTCATATGAATAAATTAATCTTCATGCATATGATAGCTTATCTGAAATAGCTTCCCAATTCTTTAAAATACCAAAGGCTTCTTTTCTCAGAATAAGGCATTTTGCCATCACGTGGTTTATTAGCAGAATAGGAAAATTAATCTTATTCTAAGCAAAAGCAGAAATATAATTAGCCAAACCAAGAAAAGTGTGACATTTGCCCATGAACTCTTCATTCAGATAATATATCTATTTTGGGAACTCATGAGACAGAAGCAAGACAAAAATATGAGAAGATATTAGGTTTCTCTAACTATTGTTCAAAATTAGAAAATGGATGTGGCTTTTATGTTGACTCTTTCAATACCTATATGAAGACAGTTAAAGGATGTATGAAATTAAAAAGCGACATCAGTGATTATTAGTAACTACTTCACAGGAAGCAAATGGGAGTATCATTGTAGTTAGTGGTATGTGAACGACTGATTGTACTGGTTTATCTTCATGCTCTCGCCTCTTCTCTTTAACTCTACGCAGTACATAGTATGGGATTATCTTTACCACATGCCCCTAGAGATTCTGTTTCACTTCACTCAGAACCTAGAAACCACTTGCTCCAAAACTTGAAAAATATTAAGAGCTGATGTCCCCAGACTGCTCCTCAACCTTGAACTCGAACCACTAAGCTCCAGGATAAATTCGTTTAAAATGATTGTGCTTAAATTTTCATGTGGGTCTAAATTTGCTGGGAGAGAAAGTCCTTTGTTTGTATTTTCGCATATTGAGAATATTTATCATGATTATTACACTGAAGAGCCTAACTATTCATTTACCCCATTTTTAAGATGTAGTAAAGACATTTTCCTCTGTGGAGGAAGCTATTGTGCAAGATTTTATCACGTGTTGGCGGAAAATTTGAGTGTCTGAATTTTGTTTCACACATGTGTTCAGCTTTGCATGTGTATTTCTGTGTGTATATAGAACATAGAAAAGAGTCTAGATTAGAAGATAATGTACTGACCACGTTCAAAGTGATTATTTCATCACGCAGGTAATAAGCATAGTACTCCATAGGAAGTTTTTTGATTCTCTCCCTCCTCCCAGCCTCCACCCTCAAGTAGGCCATGGTGTCTCTTTTTCCGCTTTTTGTGTTCATGTGTTCTCATGGTGTATCTCCCACTTATAAGTGAGAGCATGCAGTATCTGGTTTTCTGTTTCTTCATTAGTTTGCTTAGGATAATGGCCTCTAGCTCCATCCATATTGCTGCAAAGGACATGATCTTTTTCTTTTTTATGGCTGCTTAGTATTCTGTGGTGAATATGTACCATATTTTCTTTATTCAGTCTACTACTGATGGGCATATAGGTTGATTCCATGTCTTTGCTATTGTGAATAGTGCTGCAATGAACATACATGTGCATGTGTTTTTATGGCAGGATGATTTACATTCCACTGGGTATATGCCCAATAATGGGATTGCTGGGTTGAACGGTAATTCTATTTTAAGTTTTTCAAGGAATTGCTACACTACTTTTCACAATGGCTGAACTAATTTACATTCCCACCAGCAGTGTATAAGTGTTACAAAAGATTATTTATGAAGACAGAGATTATATGGGAGTATTCTTTTCTTTAGTATGTTCCTCTTTATTTTCTAGATTTTTTGCAGTGAGCATACCTTACTTCATGATGAGGAAAAAAAATTGTTATTCCTCCAAAATGATTGAGCACTTTGTATGTACACAATACTGCAATAAGTGATTACGGGAATTAAAAAAAACCTTTTTTCTTTTTTGGAGCTTTCAATATTCACAAATAAGTTGACGCTATGTGATAATATTTGTATTGCCTGTTATGTATCAGATACTTCTCCCATTTAATTTCACATACTCTATCTCCTTTAATCCAAATATAGAGAATACGTGTCAATCCACTCCATGTTATTGTAAATAATGTTGACAATGCACATAGAGACGCATATTTTATAATAGTAAGTTACAAACACAAGGTAAAAATAGGCAGACAGAAAGCTATGCATAAAGACTAAATGGAAAGCAGTCTAGATAGTGATAATTTTTTTCTACCTACTAAATTTACTAGTAGGAGCATGTATCCTTCCCATAATGAGAGAAAAAATGAACTTTTAATGATTTTTAACATATATGACAGCCATGGAACAATTCTGTGCTAACTTTGGGGTACTTATGTGCAGCATATTGGACATTTAGTGAAAAGAGAGACCACTGTGAGATGATGAAGCTGGAGAAGGCTTCAAGAAGCAATGCAGGGCTCCCTGAGTACTTTAAAGGAAGGGCAAGTTTCTTTAAGAATGTGGAAGGAGGACAAGGAGGACGTTATAGAAAGAAAATAACTTGTACAATAGCAACAAGAACTGGTCCATTTATAAAACAGGAGCTTGCTCAGGTGGTGGCTATGAGGATTAAGTAAGTTGGTGCACCTGGCATCATGCCTGGATGAAAGGTGCTCAGGAAATATTAGCCATCATGATGATGGTGCTGGTGAGAATGGAGAAGAGGGATGAATTCAAGACACAGTCCAAAGGACTAAATGGTAAACTTGTTCACAGTCTGGTTCCTTGAATAGAAATAAAAGTGCCAACTAGGCCTTCATTGTTTCTCTCCCAAGACAGCAGAAGGAGAGTGCCCGTGTCAGAAGGGGAACAGGCTGGGGAGCTGGGCAGCAGGGGTAGGTGATGAGACAAGTTTGGGACACTCAGAGTTAAAAGTTTGGGAGGTAAAGGAAGTGTGGCCAGTGAGGCGGAGAACACAGAGGTGGCATCAGAGAAACAAGAGAGGGAAGATTTTTCAGGGATGTCATCAACTCTTCAGCCAGCGGAATGCAGGCGGAGTTGAAGAAGTGGAAAGAGAAGTCCCCCAGTGCTATACTAATTGTGTCACCAATTGAAGCACCCTGCTTTCCCTATTCTTGCATCTAATTGCAGTACGCTACCATGAAACCAGTTCATTCTGTGCTCAATTTGCTGTTCTGCTTAAAGGGACTTAAACTTGATACCTGAAGGCCAACTGCTACGGGCCATTACATTTATTTCCTTCCAGGCATTGTATGTAGATAAGCAATTAAATGAGGGAAAAGAAGTTGAGAGTCATTTATCATGGAGAAAAAAAAAAAAAAAAACCATTGAACAAGGCTGTACAAGCAAACCTATTTGGATTGAAGAAAACATAACGTTTAATTCTCAGAAACAAATGCAAGCATCGGTCCAAGTCTTCCTTCCCAAACCTTTGTCATTTAGGGATTGAGAAGCTGAGTTGGGTGAAAGGTTGAATAGAAAACAAAAAGGAAAGCTAGAAACACGCTGAGCTCATGGAGATGCAGCTTCTTCTGTAGCTCCTAAAGCCCAGCTGAGGTATCATCTAATGAGAATTCTCTCTATGCCAGGCACTGCGCTAAGCATTTCACATCATTAAGCAATGTGAGTTTTAGGCAACCCCGAAGCAGGCAGTCTGTTCATCCCAATTGCAGCTGAGGAAACAGGGTGAGTGAGGCCAAGCAGCTGGCCCAAGGTCCCCTGCCTGGTAAGTGGCACAGCCTGCAGCCCTGCCAGGTGGTCCCGCTAACCAAGCCGGCGCTTTTCTGTCACCATGCCGTATCGCCTCCTGTACTATCAAAATGTACTATCAAATTTACCTCAAAAGAAAACCCTCTGTCTTCTGAGAAGCTCCGGAAGGTCCAACACGTTGCCTGCCAACAGAAAAACATGAAGAGTTAAAAATTAGCTATCGTACGTAAATTATTAGCCATTTACATTGTATGTAAATTATGTTTCATTAAACTTTAAAAATTAGAAAAAGATTTTCTTCTGGTAGATTTCCTTAAAAAAGTGTTACCTTTAAGTTTTACACTTAAGTGACCCATGTTATCTGTTTTAATGAATAATTTTCCTAATAGAAAATTATTATGTGGAAGACGACGACGGTAGCGGGTGGCAATTTAGGATAAAAAGTGATCAAGTGAACTCAGGACAGCGAACTCTTTCTAACTGTGCACAAATATAACTGTCTATTCTCTTCCTGGTGGCATCAACTCAAAATTTCAGTTCATTCATTTATTCAGCAAGTATTTATAAACCAAATGAACCATATGAAATCGCCATTCTTGTAGGTTAAAAATGGTCATATGTGGGTAATTCCAAATAGTTCAACCTAATATGAAGAACCCTCTGTGTGGTAGAATAGATAATATCATGGGAGCTGGGAATATAGTGTTGCATAAATGGACCAAGGTCCTGCCTTTATCTTGCTACATTCTGGTGGTCTAAGACATAAACAAGCAAAAAGATACATTAACAAAATTATCCCAAATTGTGATAAGAAATAAACAGGATAAAATAATTAATAACTTACTTGAGGTGAATTGAAAGCTACACTGAATAAAGAGATCAGAAAAAGTAAGGTGGATGGAACATCAGAGGAAGATCATTCCAGACAAGGGGAGAGGCAGGTTGAATGTCCATGAAGCAGATTGAAACTCCTTAGCAGGGCCCTGCTGAGTGAGGGGACTTGTTATTAGGGGAGTTCAGAGAAGTAAATGGAAGTGAGTTTTGTAGGGCTTCAAGGACCCTGACAAAGAGTTTGAATTTTATTCTAAGTTAGAAGAAAGTCACTGAAGGCTTTTTGCCTAAAGAGTTGACATGATTCAGTTAATGTATTAAAATATAACTTATGGTGACGGGTACAGTGGCTCAAACCTGTAATCCCTGCTAGTTGGGAGGGTGAGGCAGGAGGTTTGATCCCAGGAGTTCAAGGGCAACAGAAGGAGACCTTGTATCTTTTATATCTATATCTATATCCATCTATATCTTATGGGTAAAGGAAATATTCTATATTTTTATCATAGTGGTTACATGACTGAATTTATTTGTCAAAAGTCACTGGAATGTATACCTAAATATGTGAATTGCTGCATTTTACTCTATGCAAATTGTACCTCAAAAAACCTAACCAAAAACAAACAAATGAAAAGATAACTCTGAGCTGAAGCCATTAAAAATTATTTATCTGGAAGGTATTGGTATGTCTTGTTTGTTTGTTTCCTTTTGGTGGTATCATTTGTTGAACTCTGCCTGCTTAAACTCTGCACATGTATTTTTTTTGTAAAATTAAAATTATATTTTATGAAAGATAACTCTGGCTACTGAGTGGAGAGGAATTTATAAGACAGCAAGACTAGAGACTGGGAGACCATTTAGGAGACTATGGCAAGAAATGAGACTATGGCAAGAAATAGTCGTGGTGGTGATAGTGGAACTGAGAAATGGGAATAACATTAAAAACATAATTTGGAAGTAGAACTGACAAGACTTACTGATGGGTTGGATGTGGGCAGAGGGGGTAAAGAAAAAGAAATCAAGGATGACTTTTGGGGTGGGGGTGTCCACATGGACAAGGCATGGTTGAAAAGAGGGAACAAACAGTTCAATGAAGGGTTTGTTTTGGACTTTAAAATATTTGAGGTGGCTATTTATTATTCATCCAAGTGGAGGAGTCAAGAAGGAAGTTGGACACATAGGCCTGCAGTTGAAGGAAGAGTTGAGGACTAAATCTGTATGTCATCAGTATACATACGATGTCTTAGTCACTTTGTGCTGCACAATATTACAGACTGGGTAATTTATAAATTATAGACATTTATTTCTCTCAGTTCTAAGGGCTGGGAAGTCCAAGATCAAGGCACCAGCAAGTTTGGTGTCTGATGAGGACCTGGCATCTTCTCACTGTAGCATCCTTACATGGGAGAAAGGAGAAGAACAAAAAGAGCTTAGCTAGTTCCCTCCATCCCTTTTATAAGGTTCTAATTCATTTATACAGGCAGCTCCCTCACGACCTAATCACCTCCTAAAGGCCTTGCCTCTTGACAATGCTGCATTGGGGATTGAGTCTCAATATGAATTTTGAAGGGGACATATACATTCAAACCATTTCACATGGTATTTAAAGCCTTGGGCTGGATTGAGATAGAAGACCAAGGGTAAAGAAGAGGGCCCTATAGCACTACAAATTTGGAAGACTAGTAGGGAAGGAGGATCAGCCAAGCAGGGAGATCCACATTGTCTGTTCCAAGAGGTATATATATTTAACCCTTTGAGTGTTGAATCTGTGAATTAGTCAGTTTGGCTGCCATAACAAAACACCATAGACTGGGTGGCTTAAACAATAGATATTAATTTTTTCACAGCTCTGAAGAGGGAAGAGGAAGATCAGGGTGCCAGCGTGGTTGGCTTCTAGTGAGTGCACTCTGTGCCTTGCAGACAGCTGCCTTCTCACTGCACGCTCATGTGGCCTTTCCTCGGTGCTTGCCATAGAGAGAGCTCTCTCTCTCTCTCCGTCTTTTTATGAGGCTACAGTCCTATAGAATTAGGGTGCCACCCTTATGACTCCTGTAGCCTTAGTTATCTGCCAAGGACCCTATCTTCACATACAATCACACTGAGGATTAGGGCTTCAACGTATGAGTTTGCCAGGGGAGGACACAATTCAGTTCATAGTAACCTGCAAGGAGACATATCAGGGGCACATTCTTGTCACACGGCCAAACTTCCATTGCAAAATGACTACATTACAATGGATCTTTATATGAGTGTCTAGCATATTGTTGCAATTATTTGATGAACTATCATTTTGAATTTGTTCAGCTGCACTTGTGGAGGAGGAGGGGTAGGAGATGAAAAAGAAGAAGAGCATCGATTATGTACTCACTCTGTATCAAGCACTGTTCTAAGTACTTTTGCATGCATCACTACTTCGTCCAGTTTTTATGATAACCCTTTGAGGTAGATATTTTGTTTTACAGATGAGGAAACAGAGGCCCCAAGAAGTTAAATAACTTGCTTAAGATCACAGAGCTAATGAGTGGCAGAACAATTATTCTAGCTCTGATTTTAAGGGATTTACTTAACTTTTACTTGGAATTCATGGAGTCATTGGGCTTTATTTAATAAGTATCTCATCATATTCTAGTTATATCATCTCCTATAAGTGTTCAAAATTTGACAAAATTCAGATCAAAGGTGTTTTGGGGGCATTTTGGTGTCAGAAGCCATGAGGCCATTAAAACTCATGAGGGCTGCTTTAGTTTCCTAGGGCTGCCATAATAAAGGAGCACAAACTAGAAAGCTGTACCTCTGAAATCAAGGTGTAAGCAGAGCCGTGTTTCCTCTGAAACCTGTAGGGGAATCCTTCCTCTCTTCTTAGCTTCTGGTGGTTTTATAGCAAGCTTTGACACGTAGTGAAATCTGACACAAATTAAGTACATAAGAAGCTGTTCCTTGGTTTTCAGCTGCATAACTCCAGTCTCTGTCTTCATCATTGCATGGTCTTCTCCTTGTGTGTTTCTGTCTTCACATGGCCATCTTCTAATAAGGCCACCAGTCATATTGGATCAGAGGCCTACCCTACTCCAGTATGACCTCATTTTTATTTAACTAATTATATCTGCAATGATCCTATTTCCAAATAAGGTCACATTCTGAGATACTGGGGGTTAGGAAGATATGTTGAAGAGCATGTCTTTTTTTTCGGTGGGGGTTGGGGAGGATACAATTCAACCCAGAATTCCAGACAGGGGCTTTGTGGATAGAGTTTATAATCTTAAGGAAGCACATCCCTTATTTCATCTCCCCTTTTCCCAATCCTAACATCCACAGAAAATTTCCTGCCAGCAGTTCCTTCCTTGGGTTTAAGGATTCCCCAATGCCAGATGTTAAGTCTGCTAGGAAATCTGTAGACCACAGGGAAGAAAATGCAAAAAGAAAATAAAGTCCTCAAATGCAGCTAAAAATTGCTAGCTTCTATTTTTAAAATAAAGCAACATAATACTTTTTCTTCCAATTTATCTACCTTCAAAAGTCCCAACAAATGTTGTTCGTAGTACTGAAATCTATCATTTCCCTTTATTTTTTCCATTCTTCAAATTGAGCTATTAAGTCAAATGCTAATTACATGAAACATTGTTCTCTGTTAATAAATGTTTTGAGAAGTTCTGCCGCCTCAAATAAACAAATAAAACATTAAGTCAGTGTGGCATTTCAGTTGAATAGGGAAAAACTAGATTACTTAATAAATGGTACAGCAATATTTGGCTAACCATTTGGGAAAAAATAAAATTAGATGCCTACTTCACAAATTAAATTTCAGATTTGTTAAAGATTTATATATAATTAAATTAAAGACAGATCCTTAAAATTCAATAAAATTTTAAAAATTGCAAAATAAAATATGTGGCTATTTAGTGTATTTGGGTATTGGGAAGTCTTTTGACTAGTTATAAACACTAAGATATAATCTACAAAGAGATAAATCAACTTACAAAAAACTTAAAACTTCATGGATATATAGAAAGCAGCACTATAACATGGAAAAAGGAAAGATGCATACAGTATATGACAAATAATATGTTTATATTATGCATATAAAAACACTTACAAATAATTTGCAAATTAATGTTCCAACAGAAAAATGAGAAATAATTTTAAAAGGCAATTCACAAAAGAAGAAATACAAATAACCATTAAACATATGAAAAGATGTTTCTTTTTACTTAAAAAACAAATAGGATCTTTCAGGCCTCTTTCAGTTCTAACACACTGTGATTCTGAATACAAAGGTTTCAGTTGGAACATTTTTGCATAGATTTGCCCTTGAACTGATCCTCCAGTGCAAAATACTTTAATTGCTAACGTAAAGTTTCATAAAAGCACATAAATCTCATTTATTATAGTTCTAATATGAAAATCTGGATCTCTTTAGAACCAGCTTTATTAGGATCTCTTGGCTGCATATGTCAGAATCTCAACTCAAACTCTCTTATGAAAAAAATTCAGCAGATGTCTACCACCTCCACACATTCCTACATCCTTAATCTCCCTGTGTTTTAAAACTCTAAATGAGTTCTCTTAGAAATATAAAGGCAAAGACACCTCATTCTTCTCTCTTGCTGAGTGGAGAAGAATTAAATTCTCATACTTATAAGTCGAACAGCTTTAAGTAGAATAGACATGGAGGGCCAGCTAACCTCTCCAGCGACTTCCTAGTAATTTAACTTTTCAGTTCCAGAAGTTTCTAGAAGAAAACCCCATTCCTGGCTTAACTCAGCCTATAACCTGAGCCTCTAGTTGCATCTCACTGAAGCACCATAAGAATAGCAACCATGTGTTTAGAACAGCAACCATACGACAGCAACCATGTGTCATGGCTTATTCTCATCAAGCCTCCAGGTTGTAGGGAGCTTCGGTGATTATATTTTTGTTTAACAGCCCTCTCACCCACCCTCCTCTTGGGTTCCTTGGGTAATCACTCCCTCTCTTTCCATGTGGTCCAGGCAAACCTGTCAATCACAACATCTTCACCACCTTCCCCTTGCCAAAGGCTTACAACCCAAGCCAGGCAATCAGAATGTTCCTAGGGTTGGATTAATTGTTGTTAGGAGAAAGGCACTTTTTGCCATGGAGCAGGCAAACTCAGGATGAGAAGCTGGGCTACTGGTGGCCAAAGAAAGTGATTTCTCACAGGAGAAGTTGAGGAAAGAAACAGGGAGGCAGGGCCAGAGATGATGAGGGAGACAGAGAACTCCGTAAACAGGAGTACCGAAGTTTGTTGTAGCCCCGGACT
The DNA here is from genome assembly GCF_000001405.40 of Homo sapiens. Lineage (NCBI taxonomy): Eukaryota > Metazoa > Chordata > Mammalia > Primates > Hominidae > Homo > Homo sapiens. The sequence continues at coordinate 87,443,551 of NC_000010.11, read as the reverse complement.
TCCCAGATGTGTAAGACAATAAATTCTCTTTTTGCTTACTAGCTTGAATTGGGTTTCTGTCATTTAAAACCTAATGGCTCCAACTTGTGGGCACTTCTGACTTACAGGGCAGCTCCCACAGACCTCAGTAGCTTTACCAGTCTTCCTTGTCTTGTGAGCTACCATCTTCTACTCTTTTGGGAGTGTGCGTGCATGCTTCGGATTATCAAATGATTTCAATGACAACAAAGAACTGATTGTAGTTTTGTTCTTCCAAAAATTCATCTTTCACTTCCAAAGAAGTGAGATGTATTTTACACACACACACACACACGCACACACGCACACACACACTGCATTTCTGTTGGGTCCACTGATTCATGAATTTACCCTGACACTAAACATTCCTTTCCATTCTAGTTTTCAATACAGAGCCAGTTTCAGCAAGCTTAGAATAGCAGGTTCTTTGCTGAAAAAAATATTTTGTTTCAGGCAAGTTCTGTCAGTTGATGATTGCTATATTACAAATTACCCCCAAGCTTACCAATTTTTTTTTTTTTTGAGACGGAGTCTCGCTCTGTCGCCCAGGCTGGAGCACAGTGGTGTGATCTCGGCTCACTGCAAGCTCCGCCTCCCAGGTTCACACCATTCTCCTGCCTCAGCCTCCCGAGTAGCTGGGACTACAGGTGCCCGCCACCACGCCCAGCTAATTTTTTGTATTTTTAGTAGAGATGGGGTTTCACCATGTTATCCAGGATGGTCTTGATCTCCTGACCTCGTGATCCACCCGCCTTGGCCTCCCAAAGTGCTGGGATTACAGGCGTGAGCCACCGCGCCCAGCCAAGCTTACCAATTTTTTTAAAAAACAAATGTCATCTCACAGTTTCTGTGAGTCAGGAGTCCAGGAGCTTCTTAGCTGGGTGGTTCTGCCTCAGAATCTCTTACAAGACTTCAGTCAAGGTGTTTGCCAGGGCTGTAGTCATCTGCAGCCTCAACTGGGGAAGGATTTGCTTCTGCACTCACTGCCACGGCTGCCAGCAGTCCTCAGTTCCTCACTACGTGGGCCTCTCCACAGGCTGCCTCACGGCATGGCAGCTGGCTTCTCCGAGTGAGGAGTTTAAGAGTGAAAAAGTGAGCACGCACCTCCCAAGACAGAAGCCACAGTCTTTCAATAACCTAATCTCAAAAGTGACATTTCATCCTTTCTGCCAGATCTATCTGAGTCCTTATGTCCAGCCCACACTAAGAAAAGGGGAATGTAGCTCCATCTCTTTGGGAGAGAAGCATCAAATAACTTGTGAATATATCTTTAAAAATCACCTTACAAGTGGTGGCGCTCGCTTCCCCAAAGAGAATCTGAGTTCTTTCTAAAATACCAATCCTTTGTTAAAATGAGATGGAGAGTAGATGAGGGAATGCAGCGGCAATAGGGAAGACAACTATTCCAGGCAGAAGAGAAATGCTGTATCATCCACACACATTCCTCAACATACCTAAAGCTACCTTTAATGGTTTTAAGTAAGAAAATGGCTGAGGGATTTAAAAATCTTTACTGGGAATTAGAAAGCCCCTAGCAATACAACTCAGTAAACTGGCATTAAGATACAGCCATGCGATTATCGTGGATGGGAAAACGGCAAGATTGTAACAATCTGCAAGCATGTTGATTGATCAGAGTTGCAAAGTACTATCAGCTGGCCGATGGCATACACAAAGTGCAGAGGAGCTCTCAACTCTGTAAGAAGAACAATGCCGGAGGAGTAGAATAGCTATCCTTAGCCCAGGTGCTCACTGCCCCTGTCACGTATGCTCATGCCACACCTGAGATACCGGGAGGGCAGCGTCTTGTCCTATGTCCTCCCATTACTTTCATTCCCAAAGTATTTCTGCCTATAGAGCTCTTCCGGCCTCTAAACTCCTTCCAGCTGTGTCCAACCTTTTCAATGCAAGGACTATTTTGCTTATCTGTGGTGGTGGATATCATGAAAACTATGCATGGACCTTTTTTTTTTTTTTTTTTTTTTTTTTTTAGGTCATCAGCTATTGTTAGTGTTAGTGTATTTTATGTGTGGCCCAAGACAATTCTTCTTCCAATGTGGCCCAGTGCAGCCAAAAGGTTGGACACGCCTGCAATACTTAGTAATGTATATCATTCATGTGGTGATAAATATATTCAGACGAAGAATAATTCTTTTTTTAAAATGTAAAATCACAATTATTTGATGTTTTTCATTTGTGAATGCCTTTTACACGTAGTCCCTACATTTAGGTGCTTTGGATGCATGACTTTTCACTAGACCAGTGGTTCTCAACCTTGGCTGCACATTAGAATCACCTGGAAGTTTCTTTCCATTCCAAGATTCAACACAGAAATTAATAGAATACTGAATCAATTTCAATGAACTAAGAGTGACAATTTTTACTAAAAAACATTTACTTAGCAAGAAGCCAAGATTGACTGTTGTTTTAGAGTCTTTCTACTCGAAGTGTGGCCTATGGACCAACAGCATTCTTATCAGATGATAAGTGAACTGGGAGCTTGTGAGAAATGCAGAATCCCAGGCCCCACATCCAAATTATAATTTGCATTTTAACAAGATTCCTGGGTGATTCATACGCCCATTAAAATTTGAGAAGCACTCATTTAGACTTTCCCATTACCCTTCTCTTTATCACTCTGAATATTCTCCAACTTCCTATCTAGTGACCACAGAGGGTACTGACAGATTACAGCTTCAAAGCATAACCAGGATCAATAGAATACATTCATTCTTTCATTCCAGAAAAATCTATTTAGATGTAGGGCCAGTGCCTATGCTTGTGCAGACTGTGCACCACATCTGGGAAGTACTATTCACAATGTAGAAATTTTACATTTGGATTTTATTGCTACACCATTTTCTAGCAGACGGCAGTACCGTGTCTTGCAACAAAATCAATACACATAAGCTTTGGCTGAATGGAAGTTAAGTGCTTGAGGAAGGAATGTCTTTTTTCTATTCAATGGCCTATAGGCTAGATGTCATCTTAATGGGAGCCAGGACCTGGCGACACAGCAGCAAACCAGAGAGGCCAAATTATTAACTATTTCCCACTTAATACAATTTGTTTATTAGTTTTTATGCAAAATTATGGTATGGTAGTTTTTAAAAATTCAATGTATGTGGCATATTTTCCTTCCATTGCATACGATATAGCCTACAATTTTAATGTTTAATATACAAAACACAGCTTGTGTTTTTTTCCCTTCACAAAGTTTATAACAAATCTTGGAGCGCAATCTGTAATTACAATACATCGTATGCAGAAATTCCAGCCACTTTCGAGCTTTATACTTTATGGTGTAGTTTCCAAGTACACGTTATAGCAGAAGTGAAAGAAAAACTCTATTTTTCTGAATATTCTATAATTCCTGTCATCAAGTGCCTTGGATGTGGACATTAGAGATCAGTCAATATTTGTTTTAAAACAGTATTTTCAACTTCTTTTATATACTTTTCTGTCTCTCTCTCTCTCTCTCTCTTTCTTTTTTTCCCTAATGGAATGCTCTGTCCTGCTTGCCAGTTTTGGTGCAGAGAAGCCAACAAAGATTTATAAATAGGGATGCTCATGACATCATGATTTATGACAGGTAAAAACAGGAAGCATTTTAGATTTCAAACAAAAGGTAGTTGATCAAATATATCACTACACATCCAAGTAACTAAATAGCACATTTATTAAAAACGATGAGTCTAAAGAATAATTAATATCATAGGGAAAACATTTATGTAAAATGTTAAGCAAAAAGTTTTAAGAGGTTAAAAGGAAAAAAAAAATCAGGGTGCAAAACCACATACATAGTGTAATCTGAATGTCCCTGGCTCCTTGCTACTTAGCTAGTCTACGGACTAGCATCATAGCATCACCAGGAGCTTGTTGGAAATGCAAGATTTTAGGCTCCACCCTAAAACCCACTGAATCGGAATCTTCAGGTGATTCTTAGGCACTCGAAAGTCTGAGAAGTATCACCCAGGCCGTATCAACTTCGGGGAACAGTGGTCAGTTTACTTCTACAATTTGAACCAAAGTTCATTAGCTCATTAGCACCGACCTACCTAATGCAGGACCACAGTCCCCCTCCAAGACACATCCAGTGTCTTAGGCAGGTATCTATAAGTATAAACTCAGGCACTGGGGTGGTGGCCTTACCTGTCCCTCAAAATCCCCAAGGGGGAAATGCTGTTTGATACAAATGATTATTTGAAAATTATGTCAAAGAAAGGGGGATCTATTTCTTTTGCCCTGGCAATCCCTCATTAAATATGCCTTTTATGTCATCTCTGCCCATTCGTTTTCCTTTCGGCTTCCTCCTATCCCTCACACATGCCTCTCCTCTCTTACCTGAGAATCCTGAGAGAGTCGAGGAGGAAACCTGGTATTCCAGAGTTAGGAGAAACGACTGTGCCCTCATGTACCATGATGGATACTATCACAGAAAGCAACATGCATGCTCTCCCACCATCCACACTGGGACGTGAGCATCACTATCCCTTTATCATCCCAATGGCCACTTTGCTGCAGCACCAACCTTGCTGATGTGACCCATTCTGGTCCACTGCTGGTTAAAAACTCCCCTCTGACCACTGCCCACATGGTTGGATCAGTCCACCGTGGACCCAAGAGGTGACTCTCACTGCTTTACACTGCCATGTGGGACTCTATAAGGTCACTACTCTCCTGATAGGCATGTGGGATCTGCAGTGTGGGATCCCCCATGCCTACCGAGAAGGAGAAATGGGGGAGGATATAGGTTTAAGTAGAAATTAGACAAGGGATTGGGACTAGAGAACATTTCTCCTGAGAGTTTTCAAGGAAAATGACTTGCCTGGTTATGTTCAAGCATAAAGTATATAATACAATAGAAAACAGAGTAATAGGAGTTAGGAAACGTAGTGTCTTGTCTTGGTTCTTTGTGTGACCTTGGGGAAGTCATTTTCAGATGCTTATTTTTCCCCTTTTGGAATGCTGGGTAAAAATAATTGCACAGTCCATCTCCCAATTCTGGTTAAGTTCAAATGAGATGATGTTTGGAAATGAGCTTTGAAATCCCTTAGGTGTAGCATTAGCACCAATAATATGCAGCACCATGGTAAGAAAAAAAGACAGTCTGTTCTTTAAATTGGCCTCAGAAAATTTCACACCTGGATATCTGGTGGAACCTGCAAATTGGTGTTGTGTATTTTAAAGTCAAGAGTAACCTTGGAGACTGGTCTAGATTGAAAATCAACAGTACATTGGAGAGTGATACACAGCTCCTAGCTGGTAGGGGAAATTGAGGGCATCCAGAGTGAATAAAGTGTTTATTGCGGTGGAGTGAGCAGGGGGGAGTAGCATTATGTTCTAAAAGCATTCAATAAAAGAATAGCCACCTTCCGTTTTCTCAAACATCTATGCAGGTGCTTAGATCCCAAATATGGAAGATTTTGCATTTCACAAGGTATCTTTCATTCTACATAGATTTGTAGCAAAATAAAAATCATTATACATTTTAATGGCTTTGTTGATTTGGTTAAATTAGCTGAAGGCATTGTTGACTGCACATAAAATCCATTTCTCAAAGTTCTTTAGCTTTTTGACCCTTTCATCAATTCTTCTTCAGTTCTGTCATCATTCTTTCCCTCCTCTTTCAATTTCCTATCTAAAATGTTCCAAAATAATTATAAAAGTCAGAGAGGCATGATGAACCTTTTTATTGGAAAGAGATGAACCTTCCAAACTCATTCTCAGCTCATCATCACAGCATTTGGAATATGGAGTAAAAATTCGTATTTTGCAAGTGCCTTGGTGCTTAAGCATGCAGAACAGATGTTTCATTTCACAAGTTTTCCCAATTTATGACACATAATATCTCTATTTCTGTGAGACAAACACTGCTTTGGGGAATAGGCCTTTCCATTTCCTCCAGCAAGCTGATGCATGGAAATGGACTGTTGAGTCACCTTCTAGTCACCTCAGGAGAGGAGATTTTTCAAATGCTGTTTGTTTATTTTCATGCAAGGTCATCAAGGGGAAATAGTCACAGTCCCATACTCCTTACCAAAGGCCGTCACTTCTGCACATGGCATTTCTCTACCTGAAATGCATTCAATTAAATGCACTCATCCTTGCTAGGCCTGGCTTGATTTCACATCTGTGACGGATTCCTTGATGAACTCGACACTGAGTGGTTTCTTCCAATAGCTAAATAATACCTGATGATGACATTATTTTCATCATTACCATTAGCAACTTAGGAGGGAGAAAGGTGGTGTTGGGCAGGGAAGTCACACTAACCTCACCTTTCCCTGTTGCACTGTAAATTCTGAGGGCAGGGGTGGCTTGCACAGTGCCTTTCATATGATTGGTGTTTTAAAAACGTTGCTTGGTTGATTACATAGGATAGTATTGCTGCTTTGGTAGCCTAACTTTGCTCCTACACTACAGCCAGAAGAGAGGGTGAAGAAGAAATAAGAAAATAAAAATCAATCCTAAAGAAAGTGGTAAGGAGCAAAATAGGAGTTATTGGGGAAGCACAAAAACCTGAAGCAGATAACCCTCAGGCGTGAAGGCCTATTTCTCTCCTGGTTTACACACGCACCCACCTCCGTTTCTCTCCTACTTCTCCGCCACCCCACCTCAACCAGGAGGCAATTCCCCAACCAACCCTGAATATGTCTTCTAATTTCATGTACTCAATAATACCCAAACCATTTAATCTCAGTCACTGCTGGTGGGAGCGGCAATTGACACGACCTTGAAGGGAAAGCAACTTGGCAGCAGATATCAAGAGTTCTAAAAAACATTTATACTCATCTTCTCCATAATTCCACTTCTGAGCTGTATCCTAATTTTTAAAATCTTAAATATGTACAAAGATTTATGCCCCCAGAGTTTCCAATACAGGTTTATTTATACAGAGATAGGAACAGTGCAGCAGTCTAGCATCAGAAGGAGTGGCTAAATTATGGGATGAGTCTCTCACTGGAATTTTTCTAAAGTTATTTTAAATTATGTCTTAAAGGCATTTAAAGCTTATTTTATTTTTAAATGTTTTTAAATTAGCATGCAATAAAATTGACCTTTGTCTACACAGTTCTATGAATTTCAGCACTCACATAGGGTCAGGACCGAGTTTCCTCTCACAAGACTCCTAGCCCCACCTTGAAATCACCGGACGCGCTTCGTTGTCCAGGAGCCTTCTCGAAGCGGTGGGACGTCTCCGGAGGTTGGGTGGCCCGGTCAGTCCGCGGCACACAAGGACCTCTAGGGGGCAGTGTTGTCTCACACCACATGTTCCTCTACCGGGCTTTAACACACACCCTTAAACTCTAACCCAGCCAAAGCACTATTGCGTCTGTATTTTCCAAATACTTTACAATGAGTATGCACTACTATTACAATCAGAAAAAAAATATTAGATTACTAATAAGCTATTGAAACTGGGGGAGATAGCAATATAAAAATACCCACTCATGGAAGACACTGCTTAAAATAGAGAACTAGCCTCTGTTCATAGTCTGGTTTCAAAGCCCAAAGTTACGTTTCCTTTTGTTAGATTGCTAGATGATATGGCTCGGACTTTAATTCTCCATGTTTAAAATAGCATTTCTGTATTTAAAATAGCATTTCAATAGCACTTTTAAAACTTCTAAAATCATTTCTGTAATACTCTTTTTTCAGTGAGAAATAGAACAATGCTTCTTCCCTCTCTATTTTAGAGATAGCAAAGCGCTAAAAGAGATGAATTTGTGTTAGAACATCTATATATTAATTCAGAATATTCTAATAAGCAAAAGGATATTGCTAACAATTTGTATGCAGCAAGGCATAAGTTTTGGAGTCTTCTCAATTTAGCTATTCCACTTATGCTAGTTCACCCACTCCCTTCCTGTGACGGGTTCCCTAGTGATGAATGGGGCATGTAGATTATCAGATGAGTGGACAGGAAGGAAGACAGTCTAGAGTGGAAGATAAAGATAACCAACCCATGATGGAACCAACTCAGAAATCAACCCCACCAAGAGAAAACTTTATTCATGCACTGACTATTTATGGAACACCTTTCACTTGCCAAGCACTGTTCCAGGTGCTGGGGATATAGCAGAAAACTGCATGTCAAAATTGCTGCTCTCATAAAGTTCACATTCTGGGACTCTAACCCAGCCAAAGCACTATTGCGTCTGTATTTTCCAAATACTTTACAATGAGTATGCACTACTATTACAATCAGAAAAAAATATTAGATTACTAACAAGCTATTGAAAGTGTCTCCCACTGGGTGGGAGACAGCTAGGAAAAAGAAATAAAGAGGAAAAATATCCTCTTGAAAGTTAAAATAGGATAGAGACGGATTGGTGGGGGCTACTTTAGACTGCGGAGTCACAGAGGACCTCTTTGAGGAAGTGGTAATTTAAGATGAGATCAGAATAACATATCCAGCCTTGAGAAGACAAGGGGGTGGAGGGAGTGTTCCAGGGAAAGGAGACACCTTATACAAAGGCTGGAACAAATTGAATGGGTTCAGAAAACAAAAGGAAGGCCCAGAGTGACTGGAGCGTGGCATTTAGGGATGAAGGTCAAGTCAGAAAAGTATGTAAGAGTCTGGTCAAGTAACAGTCTCGTAGGCCAAGGTAAGGAATTTGGGTTTTATTTTACTGCAGTGAGAGATATAGGAGATTTCACACAGAGGCGTGAAATGGTCTGATATAGGTTTCTAAGAACCATTCTGACGGCCATTAGAAAGTGCAAGTTTGGGAATATGGCGATCACTGAGAAAGCTATGGGACCGTGCATGGTAGATCATGCCTGTAATCTCAGCACTTCGGAAGGCCAAGGCAGGAGGATTGCTTGAGGCCAGGAGTTCAAGACCAGCCTGGGCAACACAGTGAGACCTCATCGCTACAAAAAATAAAAACATAAGCCAAGTGTGGTGGCATGTGCCTGTAGTCCCAGCTACTCAGGAGGTTAAGGCAGGAGGATTGCTTGAGCCCAGGAGTTCAAGACTGCAGTGAGCTATGATTGCACCACTGCACTCCAGCCAGAGCAGCAGAGTGAGACCATGTCTCATATAAAATAAAATAATAAAATTCAAATAATAAAATAAAACAGAAAGCTATCACAATAACTGAGGTCAGGTGTGATGAAGTGTGGACCAGGATTATGGCGGTAGAGATGGAAGGTAGCTCACAGAGTCATGACATCTTTTGGAGAAGGAGCTGTTGGAATTAGCTGTATTATTAGATGTACATGGTTGGGGGGAGATGAATCAAAGCACGATTCCTAGCTTTTTAGTTTGAACAACTGAAAGGATGGTAGCTCCATTTCCGGAGATGAGAGGACTGAGGAGATCATGATCCGGGGGGAATATTTGGTCTTTAACATGTGAGCCCATTGGACGAGCATTTGGGTAACTTCAGTCTTACTCCTCAGCAGCTGCTGTTGGCAGGGTGTGGTCAGGTAGGCTGGCACTGTGTCTGAGCAAGCCAGCTCTGGTCTGATAACAGAGTTTTATCTGGAAGGGGAAACCCAGGGCTGGGCTTACGATCTAAGGTCAGCAGCCTGTCACACCAAGAAATAAATGTCTGTTAAGGCAATTGGTACATAAGCACTCAGAAAGTGTAGCTTGTCAAAGTGGCTTAATTCCAACTAGGTTGTTATTACTCAGTTGACACCTCTTGGGAGAGTTTTTTGATATTTTCTTTAACTCTTTAGTGTTATACTTTATGTATATTCACATGAATTGAAAACAGGTTCAGTTAAAAGGGTAATTAAAAATATAAAACATTTTTTAAAAAAGAAAACAGGGCCAGGCACGGTGGCTCACGCCTGTAATCCCAGCACTTTGGGAGGCCGAGGTGGGCACATCATGAGGTCAGGAGATCGAGACCATCCTGGCTAACACGGTGAAACCTCGTCTCTACTAAAAATACAAAAAATTAGCTAGGCGTGGTGGTGGGTGCCTATAGTTGCAGCTACTCAGGAGGCTGAGGCAGGAGAATGGCATGAACCCAGGAGGAGGAAGGAGCTTGCAGTGAGCCGAGATGGCGCCACTGCACTCCAGCCTGGGCGACAGAGTGAGACACTGTCTCAAAAAAAAAAAAAAAGAAAAAAAAAGAAAACAGGTACATGATGTAGACTCTACATTTTAATGTAATGTTTCATTAATTGTAATGAAACATTACAATGTTTCAACATCCTTGAAATTTAAATAAGGGAAGCTTTGGGTTTCCATAAAGAGAACACTTATACTTAAACACAAGAAGGCTGAGACAAAGGTTAAAAAATGGTAAAGCTGTAAAGGGCTGTTAAAAGCATAATGCTGTATTTTTCATCCCCCAAATCTTAAAATGTAAAAAAATGGCTTTAGCTTTTGACTCCAAAGCTGGAGATTAATTTTTTAATTTTTAATTTTTGTGGGTACATAGTAGATGTATATATTTATGGGGTACATGTAATATTTTGATACAGGCATGTAATGCATAATAATCTCATCAGGGTAAAAGGGGTATCCATCACCTCAAGCATTTATTTGTTGTGTTACAAACAACCCAAGTATACTCTTTTAATTATTTAAAAATGTACAATAAAATTATTTTTGACTATAGTCACTCTGTTGTGCTAGCAAATACTATATCTTATTCATCCTTTCTAACTATTGTTTGTACTCATCAACCACACCCACGTACCCCCGACTCTTCTCCTACTCTTCCTAGCCTCTGGTAACCATCCTTCTAACTCTCTATCTCTATGAGTTCAATTGTTTTAATTTTTAGCTCCCACAGATAAGTGAGAACATGCGACGTTTGTCTTTCTGTGTCTGGTTTAGTTCACTTAACATAATGATCTCCAGTTCCATCCATGTTGTTGCAAATGATAGGATCTCATTCTTTTTTATGGCTGAATAGTACTCCACTGTGTATTTACAACCTTTCCTTTGTCCATTTATCTGTTGATGGACACTTAGGTTGCTTCCAAATCTTGGCTATTGTGAATAGTGCTGCAATAAACATGGGCGTGCAAAACTGGAGAATTTTGAAGTAATACATTTACTCCTACAGAGATCCTGAATAATCATAGTTCTTGATTACACCCACCTCCTCTTCATTATTTTAAGTATTTTTGTTAATTACTAAGTTGATCCTTCTAGTAAAAAGGCTGCCACAACTTCGTTTCCTTTGGAGGACTGAGACCTTCCCACCTTAGCAAGAGCTTTCCATGTTGAGGTTTGCAGTGAGAGTCACATTACCCAGAGAACTGAGGGGACTGCAGTTATGCCCTTGCAGATACGGGAACACGAGGGCTGAATTAATGAGCCAGAGCCTTAGACAATACTGCCAAAAAGTCCCAAGTTCCCCCGAGCAAATACCCAGGAAGGATTTGTCTGGATATCACCTTCACCTCCTACTTAGAACAGGGTTGCCCTGAAAGTCCCTCCACCCATCGCAGGAGAAGACCTTGGAGAGTGGCTAGCAGAATTCAGGCAAATTCTTTGTTTCTGCATTCTATTTGAGCAGCCTGGCCACAGGCCAAGGAAAACTCTCTTGGAGAATAGACATTACCTGTGGAGAATGATTTGAGAAACTCTGATCCAGGAATATCCAACACTACAGTGGCCTCCTGGGGTCCCTACTAACCGGTCCCCTATTAATCTCCCTGCCCTGATTTCCTACCATCCTCTCCCTCACTCACTCTGCTCCAGCCACTCTGGCCTTCCTCAAAAACAGACAGACTTCTACCTTGAGGCTTTTACATTTGCCTAGAACACTCTCTAGCTTGCTCGTTTACCTGCGTCATGTCTTGGCTTTCATGCCACTGTTTGAACAAGGCCCACCCTTATTAACCCCAATCAATATTGCAAACTTCCCCTTCACCACTCACCCTCACCACCCTCATTATTCAGCTCTTTTTTAAAAAAGGTACCTATTATGTTCTAATACATATCACTGGGGTATGTTTTATATTTATTGTATATTGTCTATCTCCTCCCACTAGAACACAGCTCCACAAAGGGTGAAATGTTTGCCTGTTTCTTGGTTGACTGCTGTTACCCCTGGGCCTGCATCAGCACCTGGCGTATAGTAGACTCTCAAGAACAGCTGTCGATTAAATGACTGAATATAGCACATCTGGGAAAACAAAGGCTTGATTTGGTCCCTGTTTTCAACACTAGCTCTCCCTCCCCCAGGACTGGTCCTCTCCTAGCACTGCCAGCCTCTGCCAGTCCTTAGTGGGACATGACCTGCCCTTGCCCACACACCTACTCGATCCTCACTCAGTAGTCAGCATCCATATCCCACTGTGACTGACCCAGGCACACAGTGCCAGCAGCTCGTCCAAACTGGAAACTCTTCAAGTCTCAAAGTCTTTTATCAGTCTATTACTTGTCCCTGCATTCTCTCTTCTGTCCCCCTCACTGTAGACCTTCAGACACTCACCAATTTCCTGTTCCCTCTCTCAGTCCCTGGGAAGACTGGCAGTGGGGTAGGACGCCAATCTCCCCAGCTGCTCTTCCAGGCTCCCCTGCCAGAGGAGGCCTTTGGTCTGTGATTTTTCTGCCAATTATTAGAAAGAAATAGGCCTGGGATAATAAAAACAACCAAGGAGGAATTTAAAAGGTTATGAAATCTTTTAAAATTCTGTTTTCTCAATTGTATTTTCTCATTTGTACTTCTCGGCTCTTTTTTGAGACGTTTACATAGAATCATCATCTTTCCTTATATACTCCCTTTTGGAGGAAAAAGTATTTTCAGAGTTTCTCAATTATGTCAAATAACAGAAAACATTTATTGAACAATTACTATGTGCTCAGCACCATAATGCATTTCTATGAAAATGAGCTCATTTAATCCTCACAACCTCTCGGTGAAGTGGATGCTGTCAATCTTCCCATTTCATGGAGGAAAACTGAGGCCCAGAGAAGTTATATGACTCCCGAGTTTACACAGCTACCTAGTGGAGGACTCTAAGTTACAACTTATCTAATTTGAGAGTTCAAATTTTCAACTGCTATAAAATATCTCTGATACATGAGAGAAGCTGGAAAGTGAGATCATAACCACCAGAAAAATACTACTTGTTAGTGCCTCAGAAGAACTACCACTGGTGTGAGTAGAATTACAACACTGGCAACCCAAAAGAGATACGCATGTCATGTTGTCTGATTTTGGAGACATTCTTAATTTTCAGTGGCAGGTGCCATACATTTATTCATTGAGCAAATGTTTTACTGAGTACCTTTAATGTGACAAAAAGCCTGGCCACTGCAGAAGCAGGTGAGCAAAAGCAAACACAGCCCTTGCATTCATACAACATATATTTCTTCTTGAAATCAAGTTCCTGGCACTAGGTATCAATAGACTTGAAAATATGTATAACCAGCTAGGTGCAGTGGCTCACGCTTGTAATCCCAGCACTTTGGGAGGCCAAGGCAGGCAGCTCTCTTGAGGTCAGGAGTTTGAGAGACCAGCCTGGCCAACATGGTGAAACTGTGTCTCTACTAAAAATACAAAAATTAGCCAGGCGAGGTGGCGTGTGTGTGTAATTCCAGTTACTTGGGAGGCTGAAACATGAGAATTGCTTGAACCAGAAAGGCAGAGGTTCACAGCAGAAAATAGTTCAGAATATGTTTGAATATAAGAGAATATTGTTAAATATCAGTTTTGAAACTTTATTTGGAAAATATTAAAGTATACTGAATAGTTCAATACTTCATAACAGAAAATTTCTCTAGAAGAAAAATATAGACAGAAAGCAGCCAAAAACTAGTATTTGAACCTTTTGAAGTATCATTACAACTAATGTTCTGTGTACTATTTTGGTTTTGGAAATGCTGGGCCTAAGAAGAATCAGAGGAGAAACATATGAGGCTTTTTACTTTTTTTTTTTTTTTTTTTTTTTTGAGATGGAGTCTCACTCTGTCGCCCAGGCTGGAGTACAGTGGCGCGATCTCGGCTCACTGCAAGCTCTGCCTCACGGGTTCACGCCATTCTCCTGCCTCAGCCTCCAGAGTAGCTGGGACTACAGGCGCCTGCCACCATGCCCGGCTAATTTTTTTTTTGTATTTTTAGTAGAGACCGGGTTTCACCATGTTAGCCAGGATGGTCTCGATCTCCTGACCTCGCGATCCGCCCTTCTCAGCCTCCCAAAGTGCTGGGATCACAGGCATCAGCCACTGAGCCCGGCCACCTTTTTACTTTTAAGTCAGGTGAGAAAAAAGTCTGCCTTTTACTTTGTCATGGGTCCCAAAGAGGACGAGAATTGAAAAAAAAAAAAAAAAAAAGGGAGACCTGATCATCAGAGCATATACAGTGTTGTGAAGGCAGATGTAGTAAAATATATTATCTAAAAAAGGACTGAAGAAACTGAAATGCAACCTGCTAATGAAGATAGGTATGGAAAAAAGATATGAAATAAGTGCTTTTGGAAAAGAAGATCACAATAAAAGGATTTCTGTGAAAAGACTAAAAACACAAAGTCAAATAAAATACATCACAGAATGTAAATAATAGACACCAGCTGCATGGGTTTTAAGACTTTGTTGAAGGAAAAATATAAAACTATAATTAAGAATGAGATTCTAGAAAAGTAAGAAACACACAGACATTCAGCAATATCTAATGGTTTAATTTCACAGAAAAAAATTAGGCATTTATTAGAAAGTGTATTTATAAGGAAACCATAGAATGAGAGGAATCCTTGACCCTCCTCAACTTTAACAATTATGATACATCAAATTCACTTTTGACGGCAGAAGTGATGATATATTTTTTTAAAGTAACCTAGCCTAAAGTACGTCCTTAACCACTATCATTTAGACAATTTTTTACAAGCCCTTGCGTTGTGTACAGTAGCAAGCTCATAAGTGGAAACTTATTGGGCATTTAGAAGCAAACTGGTGATATGGAATTTTGTTCTCTTTTTTTCTGTTTTTATTCTAAACAAAATTTTACTTCTACCTCCTACTAAGGAAGATCTCCTTATATTCATTTCCTATATGGTTTGGTATATGAATAAAGGGTGATAACAAATATAAACTAAAAGATGGGTAAATTTTTACATACACTTTCGTAGCATTTATAGAGTAAGAAAAATAAAGGAAAGCAAGAAAACTACAAACAAAACAACTGAGAAGTGAAAAGTCAAGGGCTTTTACTCAGAGGAGCAGAATGCTGGGGTGAGAATCCTCATGACATATGAAAAGAAGGAACCCAGGACACACAGTAGACAATTGGCAATTGAGAAAAGGAGAAACATCTCCATGGAAACAGTACAGAATGATTCTTTCCTTGACCTTACGAGAAAGAAATCTGCCATAATTTTGTCAGATTAAGTAAGGATTTCTGTGGCCATATAAAAATGTGTAATGCAATATAAGAAAGTACTTTCCTCACATGTAGTTAAAGATGGATGATTGTTCTGATAAAAAATATGCTTACAGCTAAACTTGCTGCCAGAATTTAGGAAAATAAATGCCAGGCACTAGACTAAACCAAGGTGCTCATGCCATCACTGGCAAATAGTAAGCTCACAGTCATCTCAAATAACTGCCAGATTAATAGATGTTTCAGGAAAAAATAGATAAGTAAATTAGAGAAATGGATAAATGTGTAAAGCTTCTGTGCTAGTTTATGAGTGTTTTAGCTTAGAGAGAGTTAGGTCAGGTCAGTCTGTCAGGTACTTCTCACAGTTGAAACTGCATAAAATTAAAATACTCAGATTTCAGATTTCAGAAAAAAATGTGTACAGTGAGATGCGATGTACAGAATAAAATCCTTCCATTTGAAGGAATATATAATGGGAATACCTAGAAAATGGTCTGGAAAGAATGTTAATAAATTGATGCTACTCTTTTATTTGACTACTCCAGGTCAGGGAGCATGGATCATCTGTGAGCATGTCTACAAGGAGGACAAAGTGGGTAGTACTATGGGGTCTCTTGCATGTACCATGCACACTGTAGTCTATGTGAATGCTGCTCCCCGGAATCATGTAGTGTACAATCTTCCCTTTGGCAATGGGATGGGTAATGGTTATGATGTGAAGCAAACTTTTTCTTTATACCCTATACATTTTTTTTGTTTTTGCAGCAAGATTTTTTTCAGATACCAATTTTATAATGAGTGAGAATGATAATGAGGGACAGAACTACCAGGTAAATATTCCCCCACATCTTGTTGTTGTATTACATAGACATCCTGAATTAGTTTTAAAAAGAATGATGATTTTTTTTTCTTCTCACAATGCTATTATTTTAAGGAGGAAGGCATGTGAAGACTTTGTATATAGAGTCAATAAGAAGATTTTAAACACGTGCATATAAACTTGGCCGACAAGAGGCACTTGGATCTAGAGAGACTGGCAGCATATAGCAGAACTTTAGCATAGCCTAGAGCTCTGTTACAGAAATTATGAGCTGGAAGAAGAGACAATGGTGAGCTGATGGAAGTCAGAGCAGCCAGGTTAATTAATTAGGACTCTCAATAAACACTAGAACAAAAATAAAGACAGTAATCCGCTAGAACAAAATGGAAACCAAGGAGTCACTACCCACCCATAGACCCAATAACAATAGATGACAATTTTTGATAAGAAAATTAGAAGCAGGAGAGAAATTAGCATTTTATGAAAGAGCTTGTAGTCAGTTGGACAGATGGATGTTTAATTCTTGAATCCTCTATTTACACATGCTAGTGTATCTTCCTCTCTGGATCTGTTTCCATATAAGGGATATAATAATTATTATTTCATACAGACATTTTGTTGTGTTGTTGATACATTTGTGTGAGGTACACGAATAATGTATCTAAGTGCCTTGTACAATTCCTGGCACATAGATGTTCATTAAATGATGGGTCTCTACCAACATCTAATATGAAAAAATATTTCCATTTCCCAGGGGCTTCAGAAGATGAGTATGAACTCATCTTAGAGTTGAAGAATGTATCAGACAGGAACAGGTCAGAAAAAGATCCCAATCTATGTATGTCATGTATTTGGGGACTCAGAAGGAGACTTATCTCATGATTAGATGGTGTGCATGGGCAAAGAAAGGAAAAAAAATGCTGCTATTTTCATAAAGGCTGAAAATGCAATAATTATGGGAAAGTTGCTAACAATGATTTTAGATGCTTGTCAAACCTAAACAGGAGGTCACCAGAAAAATGCTCTAAATCTCTTCACTGTGACATCCACATCTTACACTCATGCCCTTATTTAGCATAATTTCACCTGGAGCTCTATTGTCCTGAGATCCTAGAAAATGTAGTGTCTAGGTTTCTCCTTTGTAATTTAAACAATACTTCAGAAGTTAGAAGACATGAGTGGATAACAGGAAACCTGTTACAGGATACAACTTGATTAATTTAGATATAATAGATAATGGTGCTTCCTAACCACAGTTAGGATAATAAATAATACATGTTCCAGTTAAATAATAAATGTTGTAGTCTTTATTACTTGAGTTTCTTACAAGACATTTAAAGTTCATGAAGACAGATAGTAGATCTGTGTATTTTAATCATTTTTTAAGCGTCCAGAACTTCAGTTAATCAAATCAATAAATATTTTTTTTCTTAAAATGAAACAATCTGCACATATACAACTCCACTCTGAAGAAAGGCAATTATTTTCATAATTATAGGAATTTCTGCAAAATTATGTAAATAATTGCCTTTCTTGAGAGTGGAATTGTATATGTGCAGATTGTTTCATTAAAAAATATGTATTTATTATAATTTAAAAAGGCTTTATATATATATAAAGCCTTTAAGGCCTTTTGTTTTTTTAAAAAAAGAAGACTATCCCTCCAAAAGTGGCACGTAGTTCTACCTGTTGTATAATCAACACTCTACTAATTTATGGATTTAATCCACGGTTTATCCCCAAGATTTCCGAGATCCCAAGTCCAATATAGTCAAGGCTCAAGATCAAAGTACTTACACTTTACCCTCACTACACCCCTTGCCTTTTATGCGCCACCAAATACCACCTCCCAGAAGTTGCTGTAAAAAGAATAATTTACCTACCTACATGACCATTAGGATTCTGCCTTGAAGCAGACATGCAGGAAAATATAATATTCCATCCCATGGCAACTTTTCTTTACTTGTTTTGTTGTAATATTTTTGTGTACCCTAAGAAATAGTCATTTTAATAGATTTTCAATTATAGACTAATATTTATCAGGGATTCATTATAAAATATGCTATTAATTCCCTTGATGGTGGGAGCAGATAGAGAGGAATATATGGTTCCATCTCTTGAACCTCCTCTGTGCTCTCTCATCTCAAGTTTATTTCATCAGTCAATTAATCTGCTTCTGTTACTGTGTCTCTAGGTCCCCCTGCCTTTCCCTGTCTCTCAAGCACTGTGGTTTATTATTCCTTATCACTCTAATAATAAATGCCAGAAGCTATGTTTCCTTACTAAGACATATCCTGGGAAGTCAATAAATACACGTTAAGAAGACAAGATTTCTCAACTTTGTTAAGATACAGATTTCTATCATTAACAATTCTGATTTAGCAAACATTTATTCACCCCAAATCTTTCTAACTTAGTTTATCTCACTGAATTCTGCGACCACAATTTGGTGTGTGGATAACTTATTGAACTTGCAACAGGTGGTGAATCATTAATGGCAATGTCAAGGCTTAAATCTTGCTCCACTGGTTCACCCATGGCTGCTCTCACATACCAAGCTAGAGTTCAATTAGAAAGTTGGAGATCAGTAACTCCAGAACACTGGCCAGAGGGTCAGAAGAGCTGACTCGTGGACATTCTCATTTCAGGTAAAGGATTCATTGGGTTTAATAGTAGTTCTTATGTCATTCTTTTCTAAAAATTAGCAGTACCAGTAGTCTCATGATTTAGGTAAATTTGCTGTTGATTGGGGTAGAATAGTAGAAGTATATTAATAAAAATGCCTTTTAAAAATTACAAAGTATTCTTTGCACTGCTGAAGAGATTCATGAATGAGAAATTTTGAATTACTACACATTAATATTTTTTCTAGCTCTCATACCTGTTTGAGTCTCAGAAAGGACAGAAGTGAACAGAGATGAGAATGCAACCCTCTCTTAGCAAATGATCAGGCGATTGTATATTGTTCAATGATTAATTGATATTTTAAAATGTTTCCAGGAAGACTAAAACACTTTTTGAGAATTATGTTCTTAATTTTATACTCACAGCTACTAAAGCAAGAGGGCTTCTTAGTAACAAATTATTTTTACAGTAATCAAAGAAAGGTTAAAATAAGAGAGTAAGATACCTAAGGCCACATGGAGAGTAAATATCATAGCTGGAAATTTGGCAATGGTTTTGTGATTCTCATCATTTTCTATTTTGTTTTATTTTGTCTTGTAATACAGACTTCTCTGAATTATTTTATTTCTGACAGAGAGTAATATTAGACTAGGCCTTTATTTTTACAAAGCGTATGATTTGTATTGTTTAATAAATAGGTAGATAAATAAGTATGGACCAAAATAATGAGCAGTTATCATAAATGTTTACATATATAGAAAATTGTTTTTTAATGGATAACCTATATAAAATAATTTTTTAATAAACATGTATGGTTCAAGAAGGGCATTTTAAATTAAATGTTCAATGCCATTTTAAGAATTTGATTCTCTAAAGAATATCCACAAAATTTGATACCACATTAAAAAAAAGAAGCCAAATAAATATATCTAGAATCCTCTAGAATTTATTTATTGATGAAATCATAAGGAAAAGAATTTTCATATGTAATTTATTAAATGATAAGTGACTTGTCATTTCATTTACTTGGGAAATAGCATAATAAAGTTTTTAGGAGGTTTTCCTCTAGCTGGTAATTTTTGACAATTAAAAAACTTGACCCAGTTTTGAAAAATATTTGAAAATATTTGACCCTGCCCAAAAGCCACCTGCAAATAGCTTATTTGCATGAACATTAAACACAAGGGCTTTCATGTACCTTTTACTTATTACTGGGATAACAAACCTCCATTCATTAAGCACAGCATCGTTTTTGTTGTGAATGAAAAATCAGCCAATTTCTGCCACATCTGGCTGCTAATCTATAGGTTTTGAATAAACAGTAGACAGTCAATTGCCGGCATCCATTCTCTTAAACCACATGAAGTTTTTTTTTTCTCCCCAGTCAAAATGCCATTTAATACAATTTCATTTCATTTTTCAGAACAACCAAGGCTTTAAAAATAGATCAGGTTTTATGGTGCAGGGTGCAAAGCATGTATTAGATAATCTAAGGATAAATCTGTTCATATACTAAGTCTCTCAGTGTCCGATTGCCGATAAAAGTTCAAATAGTCACTGCAGACAGGATAATTTCACTGTATCAAAAACTGGCATTTGCATTGAAAAGTCATTTCTACTCATTTTTGAGAAACCAGTAGCACAGTTATTAATTTTATAAAAAACCTAGACTCAATCTCAGTGAAGATCTTAATGGGTTTTTTGCTGGGCAAAAAGATGAGGGCAGTTTAACTGCGATAGCTACAAAACATGGCATATAAACATTTATTTAATTGAAAAATAACAGCTACAGCATCCATAAAATTCAAAGCCCAGCATTAGCATTTTTTCCCACTGGTTCTAAATGAACCCCATCCTCCTTACTTTAAACCTTCAGAACAGTTGCCTATAGATAGAGTTATTAGTCAGACATTTGGGAATATCTAAACTACAGAGGAATGCTGAGGAATTGTAGCTACACATGATGATTGCAATTTCAAGGAAAGGGAATTTATGCTGAAATATTTGAATAACTTCCCCTCTTAGTTTTTACTATGTCAAAAAAATTCATATAAATGTATCCCTTTACACAATTGGTCTACTGAAATTTTTGGTGAAACTAAAACACAGTATTGCCTTTTTACTGTAAAAGAGAAAAAATTAAATAGATTTATGTACAGAGACACCTATTACAAAAAATATTTTTAAATGACCCTACACTGTATTTTCATAAAAGACTTAATTTGTCATTTCCTTAGAAATGAGAGGTTAGGGGCCAGGCTCGGTGGCTCATGCCTGTAATCCCAGCACTTTGGGAGGCTGAGGCGGGTGGAGTTCGAGACTAGCCTGACCAACATGGAGAAACCCCGTCTCTACTAAAAATACAAAATTAGCTGGACGTGGTGGCACATACCCGTAATCCCAGCTACTCGGGAGGCTGAGGCAGGAGAATCACTTGAACCCGGGAGGCAGAGGTTGTGATGAGCCGAGATCATGCCATTGCACTCCAGCCTAGGCAACAAGAGTGCAACTCCGTCTCAAAAAAAAAAGAAAAAAGAAAAGAAAAGAAAAGAAAGGATAAGTCTGAAGAAATAAGGAGAAATAAGATAACTTGCTTGAGAAAGAAACATACACACACAAACTTGATAGCTATGGAGTATACTAGATAATCCATAATACGAACACTCAGGTTTGAGGAGATTCTATATAGCAGAAAAGGCCTATCTTCACAAAACTGCTAATTTGATAGAAAGTCTAACCTTATCTTTATATGGTTATTAATGTTAAAGCATGGAACTTTTAAAAGACCTTTTATTTTGTCAAACATTTACTTAAGCAAAGCACACTGCGCAGTGCCTGGCACTTTAAAATACTCAACAAATATTGCTTTTATTGTTCTTTTTTTTTTATACTCATGGGAAAACTGCTATTTTAAATAATCCGTAATTGTTTACTATGTATTTGCAAGTTAAAGTATCTAAATGTAGATAGATTTTGATAATTGAAGATAAAATAATAGCCCTAAAACAGGAAAAGTGAATGTAAAGTTGATCTCTTCCAGGGCTAGAGAGGTATGATATAAGACAGTAGGGGCTGCGTAAAAGTGGAGACTGTGTATTCAACATAAAGATATTCAAATTCACTTTGAAAAAATAATCGAATTTTCAGGTAGCCGGACTTGAGTTGAGACAAGCAGTGGATCTGAAAGGCCATGAGAGACGTGTGGAAATGTTATAGTGTAAAACAGGGGTCCCAACCCCCGGGCCACAAACTGGTACTGGGCCTGTTAGGAACTGGGCCACACAGCAGAATGGGAGAGGTGGATGAGTGAGCATTACTCCTGAGCTCTGCCTCCTATCAGATCATTGGCAGCATTTGATTCTCACAGAAGCACCAGCTCTACTGTGAACTGCGCATGCAAGTGATCTAGTTTGATCCTTATGAGAATCTAGTGCTTGATGATCTGAGTAGTGGAACAGTTTTATCCCGAAACCTTCCCCCCAACCCTGTCCATGGAAATATTGTCTTCCACGAAACGAATCCCTGGTACCAAAGAGGTTGGGGACCACTGGTGTAAACAAAATTAAGGCAGTATTAAATACGAAGATGTCTTAGATGTTATTTTCTTGCAAGAGACAGAATCTTATTTAAATTTCCTTAGTAAAACAGAGGTTTAACTAAAAGGATACAAGAATATCTTGGGCTCAGAGTAAATAAGGAATCATTAGATAGCTGTTTGTTTTATATCTAGTTCCAAGTCTGCATGGTTTCTAGTTCCCATTCATCTGTTTATCATCCTCTCCAATACAGATTAATTTGGAAGGCTGTTAGTATTTGTTCCCTTTAACTTAAGTTTATCCATGGCTTTGGACTGCTGCAACAATTCTGGCCCAATGCTATTAGACTTCTCAGTTGAAATGCCTATAATTAACATACTAAAATACCTCATTTTCTAAATCAAAATTTTGAGAAAAAGCCTCATGTATTAAATGCTTCTCCTTGAGTTACGCATCCATTCCTATTTTTCTGAACTGTAACCAGAAAGAACGTTCATGGGGCACAAATAGGATTGGGTTTAAACTCTCTGCTTTATCACAATGCCAGACTGATATTTAGAGCCTCTACATGTGGAAAAGCTTATGACACTCCTTCATTGTACAGTTCAAAACAAAATTACTTTGCATCTGTAAAAAAAATACATACTGAATCTAAACAGGCAATTCTAGTTTACAAAGTTCTGGATAAGACCATTGTCTTAGTCCGTTTTCTGTTGCTTATAGCAGTATACCTAAAACTGAGTAATTTACAAAGAACTGAATTTATTTTCTACAGCCAAGGAGGCTTGGAAATCCAAGGTCGATGGGGCATATCTTTTGAGAGCCTTCTTGCTTGTGGGGACTCTCAGAAGAGTCCCAAGGTAGCACAGGGTATCATATGGCAAGAGGGCTGAGTATGCCAACATGCTAGCTCAGGTCTATCTTCCCCTTCTTATAAATCCAACGGTTTCCCTCCCAAGATAACCTATTAATCCACTGACTTATCAATGAATTAATCCACTCATGAGGGAAGAACTTTCATGATCCAATCCCCTCTTTAAAAAGCTCATTCTCTATATTGTCATATTTTGGATTAAGTTTCAACATGAGTTTTGGAGGGAACATTCAAACCATAGCAACCATGAAAGCTGAACCTTTCCAATTCTGTGCATGGATGTTTATATCTGGTATCCTAATTGCTGAAGCACAGTTTCAATCTGCCTGTTGGAAAAGTCCATTTGCAACCCAGCACAAGTCGATCACTTGCTCGAGCTAAATCTCATTTTGTCTCTCAAACGTTTTTCCCAAATTCATGTCATCCCTCTGCTAACAAAGAGAACAAAGGTTTGTAGATGTTTCCTCTCCCAAAGATAGGGTGAATAACTGCTTTAGGCAGAGAAGATCAAAGTATGACCTTATTGAGCACTTTTATTGGCTTCAGACTAGGGTTTCAACAAGTTCAGACTCCTGTGGCTGCCTCACCATGTCTAAAGAAATTATGAATGATCCATCTCCTTAGTGTGATTCCCCACCCACCCACTCCAATCCAACCCTTCTCTCTGCCTCTTTTCAAAATATTTCTCTAAGACTTTTCTTAGACCAATATGACTTCCCTCTCACCTAACACCCTTTCTTTAGCAAGTTATATTTATGTCAGATTCTTAATCCATTCAAAGGGAATGATGGTAAAGAATAAAAGAATAATAGTAAGTATTAAACTGTGCCATCTTGCCCTTCTCTCTCCCTGAGAATTTTTGCTAATTTAGTAACCAGGGGAAATGATTGCAATATCTCCTAGTGATCTGGTGGCAGGGGGAGCATCTGGTTTGGGTGAGTCAATCCCTGACTTTGTAATATGACCTGGTGAATAACTCAATATCAATAAATTTCAACCTGCTGCAGGTTGCTGAAGTTTTATAGAAACTTAGAAGAGCTATAAGCCACCATAAATTTGAGAAGCAACCTTAGGCTCAAAGAAAAAACTGGCTGTTATCTAGCTGTGAAACAAAACACATAATACTTATATAGTGAAATAGGACTTCAAAAGAGAACTTAGGCAAATGAGATTTATGTTCAACATTTTTGTGGTTAATTATTCCATGTTGCTGCTTAATAAATTTTCTAATTTTTAAGAAATACAATTCAAAAATGAAAGTTTTGATTATATTATAGGGTATTAGCACATGTTCAGAATTTTCAGAATTGGAGTTCTCTGCTGCCCTAACTGACAATGACAAAATCAAGGGTAGAAACTTAAGCTTATGCTTATTTCATAATGCTGGTCAAATTCAATTAAAATTAGTAATGTAATCTTTGAGTGGTTACTTTATATTTGTGTTCTCAAGCAGGGACAATTTTACTTTTCAGGGGATAGTTGTCAATGTCTAGAAGCCTTTTTGATAGTTGTCAAAACTTGGAGAGGAGGAGGTACGCTACTGGCCAGAGACACTGCTAAGCATCCTATAGCCCCCTCTGCATTAAATAATTGTCTGACCCAAAATGTCATAGTGCCAATGTTGAGAAGCTGTGCTCTACATTCTTCTTATTCCTTTATTAAATCATTATTATGTGTGAAGTGACTGTTACATAACTAGTAGTAAACAATATTTTATTGACCACTTATCACGTGCCATGCTCTATTCTAAGAACTACATACATTCATTCTATTTATCCTCACTATACTACAAAATAGGGTAGGCTATAATTCCATTTTACAGATGAGGAAATTGAAGCACAGAAGAGGTAACATCCACAATCACGTAGCCTGCAGAAGATAGATCTGGATTTATAGTCAGGTAATTTGGTTTTAGAAGCCCATCCACTGTGGTAAAGGAAATCAAGTGCTGCTTATTATTTCCCTTGACTTTCTCCTATGCTCTTGCAACTCTAAGAAAAGGACCTTGGCAAATCTCAATCTACAGAATAATTCATAATTCTGGGAGCTCCACAGAAAATAAAAGTTATTTATTTATTTATTTATTTATTTATAGCTGTTGCAGTGTTCTGCCACAGGTATAGTCAACTTTGTCTGCAAAGTTAAAATTTTTAAAATGAAAGAATTAACAATTCCTCCCCTAATTATATATATATATATATAAATAAATGTAGGCCTTAACATTAACACAAATCATTGAAGTTTCATGGGTCAAAAATTTAGGCAGATATGTAGTTTGTAGGCATCTTATACTAATTAGTTAACATACTACTTCTTTTATTTTTATTATAATATAAACTATATTCATTTTATAATATACATAAATAAAAATCAAATGCTAAATATAATAAAGTTTATTTTATATAGTCCAGCTCGCTAATGTACATTAATGCTTCAATGATAATATTAAACTTTCTTTTATTTTATTACATTTAGATGCAAACTCCAGCCAGGGTTCACATATTGATTTCATGTTCTAGTAAAAACTACAAATAAAAAACTACAAAGTCAGAGATTATTTCTTAATATATTGCATATACTTTCATCCAATGTAAGTCATTTCATGACACGTTTAGCTTTTTTTGTCATAGTGGTCTCATGTTTTAATGGAAAATAGTAGGCAACAATTTTGTTTTGTTTTAGATGTGATATTGAAGTTTAAAACTTCACTAATAATTGCTGCAAATATAACACAACAAGAGAAAGCACTATAATCTATTGAGGCAAAACATAATATTAAGTAACTGAAAATGGCAGAAAACTATAGGGTATGATAACAATGCAACATGAAAAGCAAAGAGCTTTATTTGTGGTATTCCAGGTTGAGGGAGAGATTCAAATGCCTATTAATTCCTATCTCTACCAATGATCACATTTATATGTTTCTGTACTGGCATGTTCCCTGAAGTCTACTCGTGCCCCATTAGTGGTAAAAGAATTAAATATTTAAAAATATTTATGCATATTATATTTATTAGAAAAAAATACTGACTTCCATTTATGTTGAGAATGTCAGCAAATCCAATCAACTTTTCTCAGTATTTCCTTTTTTCTTTATTTGTTGCTATAACCAGAGTCCAAGCCAACATCATTTCTTGCTTATAAATGTGCAATTATTTCCTACTATCTCCCTTTGCTTTCATTTCTGCTACTTTATTTCTATTCTCCCCAGAGTAATCAAAGGGATCTCTTAAGAACTTGTCAAATCATGTCACTCCTCTCCTTAAAACAACTCATGCCGCGCATTCATTTAGACCACACCCAAACACCCTAGTGTGACCTGCCCCATGAATCATATTCAGACCTCATCATTTATATCTGTACTCCCAATTCACTTTTCTTGAGTGAAATAATCTTTTTTGTTGTTGTTCCTCAATCATCGTGAGCTCCTTCTTGCCTAAGGACATTTATACTAGCTCTTTCTTTTTCTGGAAACATCTTTTTCCCAAATATTGTGGCTAATTCTGCTGGAGGTTTCAGCTTAAATGACATCTCCTTGGCATTTCTCATGAAGTAAAATACAAGCTCCACAAGACAAGGCTGCAGGGGAAGTTAGGAAGGAACTACTTTTTTGGTTTTGCATTCTTTGAAATAAAGCAATATGGGCAACATATTAACAAAATAAAATATAAAAGGAATACCATACGTCTTCATTTTACATTTTTTCCTACAATTATTTTCTATATACCTACCATCTGTCATTTTCTATCTATTTGCTAAAAATTTCTCAGCATTTCCATGTGAGCAACATGCATATTAACTGGGTTGAATCCTCTGTGTCAGATTCTATTTTATAATCCAGAGTGTTTCACTTGCACCTTTTACTTCCTTAAAGTCCTAAGATAAACAGTTGCAAAGAGTCAGACTCTTTGAAGCTCTAAACATACTTCTGCTCTCTCCGTCCTAATAGCCAAAGGAGGGCTTTTCTGCATTTTCTCTATTCAAGTTCCTTTTGCTTTTCCTAAGCTTTGTAGTAAAAATCTGCACTCATGTTCTGCCATCTGCTTTTAATATATTTTTAATTCGCCCACCAATTGCCATTTTACTGATTATCCCCAGAAGGATAAAGCCATTTTTAGTAAAATTCTGCTTAAAGGGGAATTGATAGTTGTGGAGAAATAACTGCACATTGTTGAAGAGTACTTATTAGAACACAGTTCCATTGTATTTGAGGAGAGAAATGCATTACTGACTGGAATGTCTTGAGTCAAGAATTTAGCAAGTTTTTGGAAAAGACTTTCATAAGGTGGAACAGGAATCCACATTAAGTTCTTGAACACATAAGATTGAGTTGAGCAAATCAATCAGAGTTTGACAAAGTAAAGCAATGAATCTAGTTAAGGTAATGAAATAAATTAATCCCACTTGCCTCATATAAGGGTTTGAAAGCAGAAATAAATGCAAATAAAGGAATTAGAGGTAGAGTTACACGTAGAATTGCTGGCTCTATAATGGAGGAAAGTCAAGAAGAATTTGAGATAAATTTATTTGTTGGACAAAATACTACTTACAAAA